>NC_000023.11:33641055-33791412 GCF_000001405.40 Homo sapiens | reverse complement strand
AGCAATTACATTCTTCACAAAAAAAGAAAAAGCAACAATTCTAAAATTTATATGGAACCACAGAAGTCCCAGAGCAGCCGAGCCTATCTTAACAAAAAAAAAAAAAAAAAAAAGGAGGAATTACATTACCTGACTTCAATCATATTACAGATATAGTAACCAAAATAGTATATTACTGCAATAAAAACAGACACGTAGATCAACGGCATAGAATAGAGAACCCAGAAACAAATCCACACACCTACAGTGAACTTATTTTTGAAAAAGGTACCAAGAAAATACACTGGGGAAATGACCGTCTCTTCAATAAACGGTGCTGGGAAAACTGGATAGTTACATGCAAAAGAAGGAAACTAGATCCCATATTGCTATACAAAAATATAAAATCAAAATGTATTAAAGACTTAAATCTAAGATCTCAAACTGTGGAACTACTACAAGAAAACATTGGGGAAAATCTCCAGGACATTGTTCTGGGCAAAAATTTCTTGAGCAATACCCCACAAGCACTAGCAATCAAAGCAAAAATAAACAAATGAGATCACATAAAGAGAAAAAGCTTCTGTAAAACAAAGGAGCTAAACCAGTGGTCCTCAACCTTTTTGGCACCAAGGACCAGTTTCGTGGAAGCCAGTTTTTCCCTGGGACAGGAGGGGAGTTGGTTTGGGGATGAAATTGTTCCACCTCATATCAGGCATTAGATTCTCTTAAGGAGCACGCAACCTAGATCCCTCAAATTTGCAGTTCACAGTAGGGTTTGTGCTCCTATGAGAATCTAACGCCAATGCTTACCTGACAGGAGGTAAAGGTCAGGTGGTAATGCTCACTCTCGTGCTGCTCACCTCCTGCTGTGTGGTCCAGTTCCTAACAGGCCATGGACCAGTACCAGTCCATGGCCCGGGGGTTGGGAACCCCTGATCTAAACAACAAAGTGAAGAGACAGCACAGATAATTAAAGAGAAAATTTGCAAACTACCTATCTGACAAGAAATTAATAACCAGAATATATAAAGAGCTCAAAAAACTTTGTAGAAAACAATCTAATAATCTGATTTTTAAAATGAGTAAAATATTTGAATAGACATTTCTCAAAAGAAGACATACAAAAGGCAAATGGCCATATGAAAAGGTGCTCAACATCATTGATCATCAGAAAAATGCAAATAAAAACTATAATGAGATATCATCTTACCCTAGAAAAACAAATGTTGGCGAGGATGCAGAGAAAAGGGAACCTTCGCACACTGTTGGTGGGAATGTAAATTAGTACAGCCAGTATGAAGAATCATTTGCATGTTCCTCAAAAAACTAAATATTGAGCTACCATATGATCCAGCAATCCCACTGCTGGGTACATACCCAAAAGAAAGGAGATCAGTACATCCAAGAGATATCTGCACTTCTATGCTTGTTGCAGCATTATTTGCAATATCCAAGATTTGAAATCAACCTAAGTGTCTATCAACAGACAAATGCAAAAAGAAAATGTGGTACATATACACAATGTAGTACTGTCATTTGCAACAACAGGGATGGAACTACAGAACATTAAGTAAAATAAGCTAGGCACATAAAGACAAACTTTACATGTTTTCATTCACATGTGAGATCTAAAAATCAACACAATTAATTTCATGGAGATAGAGTAGAAGGATAGTTTTCAAGGCTGGAAAGGGCAGTGGAGTGGGTAATATTTAACCTGATAACAACTTTATGTTATTTGCATAAACAAACAAAAAAGCAAAAATAAACCGAGTAAAAACTCTGTCTTAACTTTGTCTCTCTGCTTCTTAACTTTTTATTGTTTCTGTTTATATCCTATTGAACTATGCCATGAAAAGTTGTTATGGTCATTATTTTTCATTGGTTGATTATTTACTCTTTTTACTTAGGATAAGCATAGTTTTGTGTGATCTAAAATTCAAAACCTTTGAGCTCATGGAGATAGAGAGTAGAAGGCGGGTTACGTTACTAGAGGCTGGGATGGGTAATGGGTGTCAGGGTGAGAGAGGTGGCAATTGTTAATGAGTAAAAAAAAGTATTTAAAAAGAATTAATAAGACCTAATATTAGATAGCACAATAGGGTGACAATGGTTAATTATGATTTTATTGTACATTTAAACATATCTAAAATAGTGAAATTGGATTTTTCATAACACAAAGAAAAATGCCTAAGGGTTTGGATATCCCATTTTCAATGATGTAATTACTATGCATTGCATACCTGTATTAAAACAGCTTATGTACCCCATAAATATATACACCTACTATGACCCACAAAAATTAAAAATTAAAAAAAGAAAATCAATGAAGGCTAATTTTTACAAAGAAGGTAGTTTATTAGTACATAGAACTGTGCAAAGCCAGATTGGTATATTCAACAATCTGAAACTGTATAATTGGAACTTTCTCTCTCGGCAGTAATATTGATGAACATAGTTGGTTAAGCCTGGGTAATGTGGCTATCCCGGTAACCAAAAGGCAGTTTATTGTAATTCATAGCTTTATGAGAACCATCTGTCATGGAAAAAGATGATAAGTAAAAAACAAAACCAAAAAAAGGATGTGTAGTAAACTAAATAACTTTTAAATTATTTGTATAATTATAAAATACTTTATGATAGAATTTTACTAAACTGCACCATACATGAAACTACTGGTAATGTTCACATGTATTAAATTTCTTTAATATAGTTCTATGTGACAACTATTTGCTATTGCAAGCAAATGAATTGATTTATTATACTCTAAGTTTCAGTTTCTAAAGATTCTTATTTTAAAATATATCTCTGCATAAATATTCTAACTTTATAATATCACTTTTCTGGTATGCTTAATAACTATGCTTTATTAAAATATAGACATCTTAGTTAACTTTAATAAAACTTGTGAGTTTTATTTTACTTGAGAAAGAAGCAAGTAAGCAGGTATATTTATGGGTGGTAGAAGCAGCATGATATACTGATCAGGATTTAAATTATTAGAAAACAGAAGCCCCCAAGATGTAAAACAAAGAACCTGTATATGACATAAGTCCCCTAATATTAATTCAGTCATTCAATAAATGTGTATTGAACATCTGACAATGTTATAGTTGCTCAAATACAGCAATGAACAAACATGAGAGAAAGCTTTGCCTCAATGGAGTTTACATTTCAGTAGGGAGAGAGAGTAGTAATTTTTCCACAAAATATCTTACTTTTATTATTTTCACGTCACTCTGGCATATTGACTTTAGAAACAAAAGACAGAATTCTATTTATAGCATTCTGTTTTTAGTAGTGGTATTTCTATTTACAAAATATAGTAATTATCAATCACTGAAAATGTGAAATCCTAGAAAACACAGCATTTCTACGCATGATGTTAACATTGTTCTCAAAGAGTTGTTGGCCAAAGATTCATTTCATGAATTTGATTTTTCCAAAATAGACAATTCTGATTATTCAGACGATTGTGATATTAGTTCTGTTTAGAAATAACTCCAAGAACAGTTTTTATATTTTATTTTCATATTGAAAATCAGTCAGATTTGCTTCAGCCTCTAAGAGTGTCTTTATATAAAATTAAATGAGCACTGGCAGCAAGCTGCACTTTTTCTTTTTCTAAGTGGGAAAAGGGTCAAACCAATAAAAATAAGAAGGAAAAGGAAGGGCATTACATAATGATAAAGGGTATAATCCAACAAAAAGACTGAAGTATCATATATATACACCCAAAATTGAAGTAAGTAGTTTTACAAAACGTGTTATTCACGGCCTATGAAAAGACTTAGACAGCCATATATAACAGTTGGACACTTCAACACCCCACTGATAGTGTAAGAAAGGAAGAAATCAAACTATCTCTCTTTGCTGATGATGTAATCTTACACCTAGAAAACCCTGAAGACTTTGCCAAAGGGCTTCTAGAACTAGTAATTTTAGTAAAGTTTCAGGATAAAAAGCCATTGTATGAAAGTCAGTAGCATTTCTATACACCAATAATGCCCAGGCTAAGAGGCAAGTTAAGAACAAAAGCCCATTTTAAGTGGCCACAAAGAAAATGAAATACCTGGCAATACAGCTAACCAAGGAGGTGAAAGATCTCTATAAGAAGAACTACAAAAAACTGCTGAAGGAAATCAGAGATGATAAAAATAAATGAAAAATTATTCCCATACTTATGAACTGGAAAAATCAATATTGTTAAAATGGTCATACTTTACATGCCATAAACTTCACCCCTCGTAAATGTACAATTCAATGATTTTTAGATGTGCAATCATCATGGTAACCCAGCTTTAGATCATTTGAATCACCTCAAAATGCTCTCTTGTGCCCATTTGTGATCATTCCACATTCCCATCCCCAGCTGCAGGGCAAACATTGATCTGCTTGCCATCTCTATAAATTTACCTTTTCTAGAAATGCCGTACAAACAGAATCATACAATATGTAGTCTTTTGGATCTGGATTCTTTCACTTAGCATGACGTTTTTGAGGCTGAATGTCACATTATACTTCAAAATATCTGTTTAAAAATAAGAGAACTAAAGCCTGACAAAAATTTAAAAAAAAACTATTTCTTATTGTACATTCAAGTTTTAAGCAATGAAATAATTTTTGAGTTTTAGTCCCATGTTTCCTAAATCTTAGATATATCAGCAATTTCTCAAAAACAATAGCTGTACTCCCCAAAGCAATTTAGAGATTCAACAGTATTCCTATCAAACTACCAATATCTTCTTCAAAGAATTAGAAAAACTATTCTAAAATTCACATGGAACCAAAAAAAGAGGCCCAATAGCCAAAGCAATCCTAAGAAAAAGGAACAAAACTGGAGACATTAAACTATTCAACTTCAAATTATACTATAAGGCTACAGTAATCACAACAGTATGGTCCTGGTACAAAAATGGACACATAGACCAATGGAACAGAACAGAAATCTCGGAAATAAAGCCACACACCTACAACCATCTGATCTCCGACAAGGCCAAGCAATAGAAAAAGGACCCCCTATTAAATAAGTGGTGCAATAGGAAAACTAACTCCTATTCAGTAAATGGCCCTGGGATAACTGGCTGGCCTCACTCAGAAAAATGAAAGTGGACACTTATCTTTCAACATGTACAAAAATAAACTCAAGATGGATTTAAATGTAAGACTTCAAACTCTAAGAATCCTAGAAGAAACCGTAGGAAATACCCTTACTGGTACTGGCCTTGGCAAATCATTTTTGGCTAAATCCCTAAAAGCAATTGGAAGAAAAACAAAATTTGACAAGTGGGATCTAATTAACTAAAGAACATTTGCATAGCAAAAGAAACTATCAACAGAGTAAACACAACCTACAGAATGGAAGAAAAAGTTCACAAACTATGCACGTGACAAAAGTCTTGCATCTGGAATCTATAAGGAACTTAAATTGACAAGCAAGGAGCAAATACCACCATTAAAAAATGGGCAGACGAAATGAACAGACACTTGTCAAAAGACACATAAGAAGCCAACAAACATATGAAAAAAACATGAAAAAATGCTCACTATCACTATCATTAGAGAAATGCAAATCTGAACCACAGTGAGATACCGTCTCACACCAGTCAGACTGGTGATTATTAAAAAGTCAAAAAAACAACAGATGCTGGTGAGGCTGTGGAGAAAAGGGAACACTTATACACCGTTGGTGGGAATGTGAATGTAAATTAGTTCAGCCACTGTGGAAAGCAGTTTGGAGATTTCTCAAAGAACCTAAAACAGAACTACCACATGACCTAGCAATCTCATTACTGGATATATACCAAACAGAAAACAAATCATTCTACCAAAAAGACATGTGCACTTATAGGTTGATTGCAGCACCAGTCACAATAGCAAAGACATGGAATCAACCTAGGTACCTATCAATGGTGGACTGGATAAAGAAAATGTGGTACATACATGCCATGGAGTATTATGCAACCAGAAAAAAATGACAAAATTCTGTCCTTTGCAGCAACATGGATGAAGCTGGAGGCTATAATCCTAATCAAATTAACAGAGGATCAGTTAACCAAGTACTGTGGGTTCTCACTTCTAAGTGGGAGCTAAACATTGAGCATACATGGACATAAACATGGAAACAATTGACAACCTGGACTACTAGAGGGGGGAGGATGGGAGTGGGGCATGTGTGATAAAACTACTTATCGGGTACTATGCTCACTACCTGCATGATGGAATCCATACCCCAAACCTCAGCATTGCAAAATATACCCATGTAGCACAACCTGCACATGTACCCCCTCAATCTAAAATAAAAGTTGAAATAAAAAAAAAGAAGTTTTATAAAAAGCAACTTCAATTAATCTGATCTCTACAAGATTACCAATTTTATGATGTAGACTTGACTTGTCCCTTGGCATCAATGATCCAATAAGGTATACATTTAAAACATGAATGTACTGTATTTCCCTAGAGAAATTCAGAGTGTTGTGTCAAAAACTATTCTTTTTAGGAAGACAGAAGAAAGGAGTAAGAGAAGGAAGAGGCAGAGGAGGAAGAGGTAAGAGGAAGAAAGGAAGGAAGAAAAAGACAAAGGAGGAGGAAAGAAAGGGAGAGAGAGAGAGATAGGAGAGAAAGAAAGAAAAGGAAGGAAGGGAAGGGAAGGGAAAGGGAAGGGAAGAAGGAAAGAAAGGAAAGGAAGGAAAGGAAGGGAAAGGGAAGGGAAGGGAAAGGGAAGGGAAGGAAATGAAAGGAAAGGAAAAGAAAAAGAAAGAAGGAAAGAGAGAAAGACAAGGAAGGAAGGAAGGAAGGAAGGAAGGAAGGAAGGAAGGAAGGAATGAAGGAAGGAAACTCTTGACAAAAATGAGGTCATTTCTTTTCTACTCAGATTTTCCCTGACATGGAGATTTGAGCCTATCTTCTCTGCTTCTTTTTCCATTATGTAAACGCTGTATTCCCACACTTTTTGTTCAAGATGGTCAACTGTGCATTATTCTTATTACTCTCATTTTATCACATTAGAGAAAAAATTATTTAAAAGCTGGAGAAAATGCCACAATGTGAACTTGATAAGATTCATCAAGTAAGAAAGCATTTTCAACAGCCAGACTGACCTACACAAGGAGGAACAGAATGTAATAATCGTCTGGATACGTTGGGCTAAGAATTAACCTTGAAATCACTGTCATCTTAAGATAAGCTATATAATTGCTCTGATATATTTTTACCATATCTCTAGGTTCAAGCTCCTCCCATGCATATGTAATATTCACTTTAAAGAATAAGTCTTAAGTTATTATGCCAAATTAAAAATTCTTACATATGTACAAATAATATGTCCTATATCTTGAAACTGACTAAAAAACTGTGTTTAATTATTTTAAGTGATTTCTAACAAAGTAAAATTTAAAATGATAAATTCCCTTTTATAGCAAGAGTAGGCTTTTAAAGCACCAAAACCTCATTGCCTATGGTCAAATTAGAGGTAGATCTTAAGAAACACATAGCTTAACAACGATGTATGATCCTAGATTACTAATATATGAATTTGATAAATTTTAGACTCAAGCAGTAGCTTGTGTATCCAAGCATAAAAATACATCAGGAATTATTTTGTGGGAAACAGAATAGCTTTATCTTATTTACTTTTTCTATGTTTTCATGAACATGTGTTTTGCTGAACTTACTGTCACATCTCTGAATTTGTATATCCATCCATTCATCCATCCATCCATCCATCCATCCATCCATTAATTCTGTCATTAAATTGTTGGGCAATCTCCTAGGAGTTAAGAATACAATGGTAAAAACTGGCAATGTCACTGCTCACATGGAATTTAATAGAAGGAAAATAGATAATAAACCAATAAAGAAGAAAACTGGATTTTGTGATAACAGCCATAAAGGAAATAAATACAGTATTGAAACACACAAAAATACTGTAGTCAGGAATGGTTGCCCTGAAGACATGACCTTTAAATTGAGACTTGAAGAAAGAGGATGAACAATGAAAGGAAGCAATAGAAAATGTTGAAAAATTGCAAGGAACAAAGGAGCATATAGTTACATAGACTAAAGCAATATTACACTTGCAATCACATTTTTGTACAAATTAATCATTATTTTAATATTTTGTAAATTCAGATTAGATGGTAAATAACTTTGCTGTCATCTACCACTTTCTGTATCACAATAATTTAACTATAGTTTGGATTATGTTTTTACTATACAAAATGTCTAAAACTTTATCAACTTTTGCTTTATATACAGTTATTTACTGAGCCTCTATTATATGCAGAGTACCATGCTAGGGGCTGGATATCAAAAAGACAAGAAAGACACATCTGCTATTCTCATAGAATGAATAGTCTGGTGAGGAAGTTACACAGTTAAACAAGTAATTTAAATAGAATATGGTCATTTTATTTAAATTGAAAATGTATTTAAAATTAAAAGAAAGACAGGCTTGAAGGAAGTCCACTATAGATGCATCCAACACAGTCCAGCAGATTTGAAAGAGATCTTTTAGTAAGATGTTTAGGAAGATGTTATTTATTTTAGAACAAGGACAATCTCTGCAATTAAATTATTTTATTAGGTAAATTTCTCTTAGGTTAGCAAACACAACTTTTTTATGGGCAGTGCCATCAGCAGAGATTTAATAATTGCAAATTTTAAGTTTTTTGTTGAAAAGAGTCTTATTTCTAAAATAAGAAATTAAATTATATATAATTTCAAATACAATTATGCATATAAAAATAATAAGTATAAATATCTGAACATACTCTAAATTATCTTATGTATTTCTTAGAATTCTTACTACTATCAAGATCTAATCAATGAAGCTGCTTAAAACCTACAGGAAATCTATGAAAGGTTATTTTTTTCTGCTTTGTTACTTTATATTATTAATTAGTAATGGCCTTAAGTTCTTTCATGACACCTATTTTGCCCTAAATAAAAGTTTGATGAAGGGCCTTCTCACCCTTTTTAATTGCAAAATGAAAAGTCATCCATCTAAGAGAAAGCCCCTCATTATTTTTGTGGGTCCCTTTAGGGAATGTAAGATTAATAGTCATCCTATATATCTAGATTTGCATCTAGATATTTTCTTTCTAAAATGTTAATTCTCAAGAATCCTAAAGATAAGAACTTATATATAAATATCATAATGTATATTATAAAATAATTTATAGTTTAAAAAAATCAAGATATTTTATTGATATATAATATTTTTAAAAACATTCATTGCCTATATATGTAAAATAACTATAGTTTTAAGGTCTAATGTGCCATCAATATTCACAGTGGTAAAATTAATAACTGTTTTAAGAATATCATAGAATCCTGATCTTTTCTTTCCAATATCTGGGCATTTGCTTAAAGACTCTTTCCATCCATACATTACACTGCTCATTAATCAATGTAAGGCATTGTTTTTCCAGGTTAAGAGTTATTTACCAGGGCTAACAGTAGGGTATCCGCTTGTTCCGTTTAACCTAGACTAGTAAATGTTTTTATCAATAATTACATTGATGCAATGGGCATAAACCAAGACTGTGCCCAGGACATAAGGGCATCAATGTTCGGAGCCACAACGTAGGTTCGCTTCTAGTAGAAAACTAAATTTAACAAATTCCTTAATCTTACTTTTTCCTTTTGCCCTGATTTCCGTGTTTCTTTTAATTTAACTTATTTTAAAATATCTGATATTTCTCTATGAACAGCGTTGAATAACTTTTAGAAGTTAGAGAGATAGATAGATGTGATAAATAAAAGTAAGCAAAATATCTCTAGGCTTAAGGGCAAACACAAGTAAGATACAGCCTCTTCTTTTAGAAAGCTTACCATATACTAGAGTCTTGCTAGTCACAGTTAATTAAGCAGCAGCATTAACTAGGAACCTTATAGAAATGAGGAATCTTCGGCCATGCCCAAAGTGCATCATAATGTGCATTTTAACAAGGTCTCAAGTCATACCTATGTACAATAAAGTATGGGAAGTACTGTGTTAGTGGATGCTTCAGGTGTAATTAACATCAAAAGCTTCACTGGAAGTTTTCTACTTCCCATTGAAGGTATTTCTTTGCTTTCCACATGACAACAGAAACTATTTGTCTAGAAATTTGTATTAGTCAGGGTCCTCTTAGAGGGATAGAACTAATAGGATATATATATACGTGTATATAAAGGGAAGTTTATTAAGTATTAACTTACACCATCACAAGGTCCCACAATGACTGTATGCAAGCTGAGGAGCAAGGAGAGCCAGTCCGAGTACCAAAACTGAAGAACTTGGAGTCTGATGGTCGAGGGCAGGACACATCCAGAATGGAATAAAGATGCAGACTGGGAGGCTAGGTCTGTCTCTCCTTTTCAGGTTTTTCCACCTGCTTCATATTCGCTGGAAGCTGATTAGATTGTGCCCACCAGATTAAGGGTGGATCTGCCTTCCCCAGCCCACTGACTCAAATGTTAATCTCTTTTGGAAACATCCACACAGACACACCCAGGATTAATACTTTGCATCCCTCAATCCAGTCAAGTTGACACTCAGTGTTAACCATCACATTAGCACTACAGTATTTTTGAATGAGTGAGTAAATTACAAGTACACCATCATTATGCAAGGTGATAAATCTAAAGAGGGTCTTCTGACTTTTCTATAGTTTCTGTGTCTCCAACTACGAGCAGAGTTAAAACCGCAATCATTTGGAATTGAAAACAATTGATGCCACATTTCAGCGGGATACCATGTAATGCTCTAAGCCACAATCTTGAGGCAACTTGGCTGCTTTGTGGAAATACTTACGGGTGCCTTTTCTCCTTCAAGGTACTTTAGTAGAATGCAGTGACAAATCAAATTTCTGCTTGATCATTACCAGAGAAGCTATCTTCTGCAACTTTATTTAGATACCTCTGTTTTGTGATTAAAAACTGCTTTCCTACAATGTATAGGCTTACAAATTAGCACATTCCAAATAATTTTGAAAAATATTTAAAAATAATTAATGAGAAGGTTAAATGAAAAGAGTTGAGTCGTTTCACTAGAGGCAGTTATTTTCTGTAAATGAGATAGTTCATATGTAAAATATAAAATATGATGTTTATGTAGCTTATGATTTTCAATGACACTGGTTGGGTTGCACTTCAAGAATAACAAAATAGGTCTTAGAAAATGATTTAGGCATTTGTTTTTTTTCCCTACAGGTATGTATAAAAACAAACACTATACTGGTGTCTAAACTTTTACTTCTGTGAAATGTAAGGCATGGAATTGTATAGATGTTTTTATCTCCCGTGGTGGTTAATAAATTCCTGGAAAGCGGCAAAAATATTTTCTTTTTCCTTCTATCCTCTACTGCTACTTAATAAACGCTTAAAATATGTGTTGAAGAAAAAGAATTATTGATATCTTTATAGACTAGAGATTATACACACACATATATACACATTAGAGATTTTATATATACATATATGTGTGTATATATATGTGTGTGTATATATACACACGGAGAAAGAGACAAAAAAAAGATAGGAGAGGTAGAGAAAGAGAGAAAGAAAAGAGCATTATAGTCAAATGGCAAAGGGATAGAAGGAAAAAGTGGGAAGGATAAAATATAGGAATGAATATAAAAATATTTTTAAAATAATAGAAAATATAGAGAGAGCAGAATACAGAAAATAACATTAGAAACTTGGTGGAGACAGATTAATTCAAACCTAGAATTCATGGTAAAGAGTTTAGAATGTATCCTATAGGCCAGTACTTCTCAAAATCAAGTGTGCATCAAAAGCTCCTAGAGGTTTTCTAGTTTCTAGTCCAAAATGTAAAGAGTTTGACATTTCAGAGGAAAATTCCCTCAAGCTTTCAGCAGGGGAAGGGAAAAAATAAACACTTGAAATTTGTCCAGAGTGTTGGATACTTCTTAACAAAGGCCTGGCCTCAAGGAAAAGTATTTTACCAGAGCCTAACCTGAACTAGATTTTGACTACAGGCTAACCCATCTGGTAGAAGGTAAATACCAAACTCTAGTTCTCTATAGCCTTCCTGTATTACCTAAGGAGTGAAGAGAGGAAAGCTGAGAAGCACCTGTGAAAGGCACAGCCCAAAGACACATCTCACTGAAAACTGATTCTTTGAAAATGGATTAACCTCTAGTAAGGCTCACCAAAAAAATAATAAGAGTGAAGACATAAATTACTACAAATCACTAATATTACAAATGAAAGGAGAGCCATCACTACAAATCCTATAAATATTAAAAGAATAATAAAGGGACACTATGAACAACTCTATATTCACAAGTTTTATAATTTAGATAAAATGGACCAATTCCTCTAAAGACACAATCTATCTAAAGTCATACAAGGAGAAATAAATAATCTTAATGAATATATATATATATATATGAAATTAAACCAATAATTAGTAACTTTATAAAACAAAAAGCAACAGGTCCAGATGGCTTCACTGATGAATTCTACCAGTCTTTTGAGGAAGAAATTAGACCAATTATCTTCAACCTCTTCCAGAAGATAGAAGCAGAAAATAGAACTCTTTCTATGAGGCTAACATTACTCTCACCCAAACAAACACATTGCAAGTAAAAGAAAAGCACAGACCAATATCTCTCATGAACATGAATGTAAAAGTCCTCAAAAATATTACTAAATTAAATATATCACTATAAAAAAAGAAATATACACTATTACCAAGTGGCAGTTATCTCAGGTATGCAAGACTGGTGCAACACTCAGAAATAAATTAACATAATTTCATCAATAGGCTAAAGAAGAAAAACCATATGATCATACGAACAGATGCAGACAAAGTATTTGAGAAAGATGCAACACTTAGTCGTGATAAAAATCATTCAGCAAACTAGAAAGAGAACTTTCTCTATTTGATAAAGAACATCTGCAAGAAACTTACAGCTAACATCACAGTTAACGGTGAGAAACTAGATTATTTTTTCTTATGATCAGGAATAAGGCAAGGATGTCCACTATCACCACTCCTATTCAATATTATACTAGAAGTCCCAGCTGATGAAACAGAAAACAGGAAATGTAAATAAAAGGTATACAGACTTGGAATAACTAAATTAAACTGCCTTTGTTAACAGATGACATAACTTCCTACATGAAAAATACTAAGCAATCATAAAAAACACTCCAAAGCAAACAAACCAAAACAAACAAACAAAACACCTCTTAGAACTAATAAACAATCATGGCAAGGTTGCAGAATAGAAGGATAATATACAAAAGTCTCTTGTAGTCCCACTCAGGAGGCTAAGGCAAGGGGATTGCTTGAGCCCAGGAGGTTGAGACTGCAGTGAGTCATGATCATGCCACTCCTTTCCAACCACTGTCCAGAGTGATAGAGCAAGACCTTGTGTGTGTGTGTGTGTGTGTGTGTGTGTGTGTGTGTGTGTGTGTGTATAAAGATGCACAAGTTCTATATAAGTAAAACCACAAAACACTGATGAAACAATTGAAGATCTAAATAATTGGACAGCTATCTCATGTTTACAGATAAGAAGACTAAATATTGTTAAATTGTCAGTTCTTTCCAAATTAATCTATAGATTGAATGCAATCTCAATAAAATCTCACCAAGTTACTTTGTATCCAATTGATAAATCAATTGATAAATTCATTCTAAAATTTATATTGAAAGGCAAAAACATAAAAAAAAAACAGAATAGCCAAAACAATATTGAAGAAGAGGCACTAAGTTGAAGGGTTAATACTACCCAACTTCAGTAATTACTATAAGAGCATGATAACCAAGAGAGTATGGTATTAGCAAACAACAGACAAATAAATCAACAAAACAGAATGGAGAGTACAAAAACAGACCCAGACAAATATAGTAAATTTATCTTTAACAAAGGAATAAATGCAATTCTAAACAGACAACTATCCTTAAACTGAGGAAAGATTTTTCAACATATGATCCTGAAACAAATGCATATCCACATACAAAATACTGAATGTGACACAGGCCTTACACATTAAGGAATTGACTCAAAATGGATCATAGACCTAAATATAAAGCACAAAGCTTTAACCTCTTCAAAGGTAAATGTAAGAAAATCTTACATTTGGGGTTTGGTGATAAGTTTTTAGATATGTTGATATAATTGATAAGTTGGATTTCATTAAAACTATAAAAAAGTACTTTGTGAAAGAGACTGTTAAAAGCATGAAAAGACAATCATAGACCAGGTTAAAATGTTTATGAGTTACATATCTGACAAAGTACTTATATCCAGAATATACAACATACACTTAAAATACAATGATAGGAAAGTGTACAAGGAAATCCCCATAAAACCATCAGTGGATTTTGCAGCATACATAGAGTGAATGAATGAAACAAAAAAACAAGATATGACTATATTCTGTGTATAAGAAACTCGCTTTATACTTAATGATTCATATAAGCTGAAAGCGGAAGAATAAAGAAAAAATATTACAGGCAAATAATACCCAAAAAAGCAAAGGTGGCAATACTTGTATCAGGAAAAATAGATTTTATGTAAAAAGTTGTCACAAGAGACAAAGAAGGACATTACTAATATGTAATGACAAAAGTGTAAATACACAAGGAATACATAATGATTATAAATATATATGTGGCTAACGTTAAAGCATTTAAATATATAAAGCAAACATTTACAGCATGGAAGGGATAAGTAGCCAGTAATACAACAATAGTATTAATAAAAGCTTTCAAATAATGAACAGAACAACCAGACAGAAAATCAACAAAGGAATAGTGGCTATGAATAACACTATAGTTCAAATGGATGTGACAGACCTATACAGATCATTCCACAAAAAAGTAACAGAATATACATTCTTCTTAAGCAGACATGGTACACTCTGCAAGATAAATCACATGTTAGGTCGCAAAACAAGACATAAAAAATAAGATTGAAACCATACCAAATATCTTTTGTGACCACAAAAGGAACAGAACTAGAAATCCATAGCAGAAGGAAAACTAGAAACTTCACAAATATGTGGAAATTAAACAACTCATTTGATCAACCATGGGTCAAAGAAGAAATAAAAAAAATTTAAAAAATGTTGAGACAAATGAAAACAAAAATACATGATACCCTAACTTATAGGATTCAGCAAAAGCAGTAGTAAAAGGGAAGATTATAGCAGTAAATGCCTACGTTTAAAAATAAAACAGATCTCAAATCAACAACCAAACTCTATACCTCATGAAACTAGTAAAAGAATAAATTCAACCCAAAATTAGCAGAAAGAAGGAAATAATAAATATTAGAGAATAAATAAATGAAATAGAGCATAGAAAAACAATTGAAAAAAAAATCAACAAAATTAAGAGGTAGTTTTCTGAAAAGAAATAAAATTGACAATATTTTTGCTAAACTAAAAAAATGAGAGGAAATTCAAATAAATAAATTCAGAAATGAAAAGAAGACAAAACTGAACCCATAGACATAAAAATGATAATAACAGACTACTATGAATGATTATATGCCAGCAAATTGGATAGCCTAGAAAAAAAAAAATCAATGGATACATTCCTAGAAACACCCAACCTACTAAGATCAAACCATGAAAAGAAATATAAATTTTCAACAGACCTATAAACAGCAAGGAGATTGAATTAGTAATCCAAACCTCCCAACAAGGAAACTTCCAGAACCTGGTGACTTTACTGGTGAATTCTAATATACACGTAGATGAGAATTAACATCAAATATTATCAAAATCTTCCAAAAACCTGAAGTGGAATGAACACTTCCAAATTCATTTTTTGAGGTGAGTATTATCCTGATAAAAAAGCTAGTCAAAGGCATCGGAAGAAAAGAAAATTACAGTCCAAAATTAATGATAAATATGGATTCCAAAATCCTCCAATATTATACTAGCAAACTAAACCCAACAGCACATTAAAAGGATCATACACCATAGCCAAGTGAGATTTAACTTTGGAATGCAAGGATGATTCACTATATAAAAATAAAATAATGGGATATACCACATTAACAGAGTAAAGAATAAAAGCCACAAGATCATTTCAATAGATACATAAAAATCTTTAAACAAAATGTGACATCTTTTTACAACCAGAAGACAAAAACCTCTCAATGAACTAAGAATAGAAATAAATGACTTTAACAGAAAAGTTCATATATAACAAGCCCACAGCTAACATCATACTCAATAGGAAAATCTTAAGTCTTTTCCTCTAAGAACAGGAAATAGGCAGGATGCCCAATCTCACCATTTGTCAACATAGTACTGGAAGTTCTAACCAGAGAAATCAGGCAAGATCAAGAAGTAAAAATCATCCAGATGAGAAAGGAAGAAGTGAAATTCTCCCTGTTTACAAATGGCATAATCTTCTACCTTCTATATAGAAAACTCCAAAAACTCCATAAAAACCTAGTAAAACTAATAAACAAATTCAGTAAAGTTCCAGGATATAAAATCAATGAGTAAAAATTAGTTGCATTTCTATACACTAACAATGAATTATCTGAAATGGAAATCAGGAAAAGAACCACATTTACAATAGCATCAAAAAGAACAAAATAATTATGAGTAAAGTAAGTAGGTGGAAGACTGGTACGTTGAAATCTATAAAACATTGATGAAAGAAATTGAAAGAGACACAAACAAGTAAAGAGATATTCTACATTCATGGATTGGCAGACTTAATGTTGTTAAAACAACCATACTACCCAAAGCTATCTAAAGATTCTATGCAATCTCTATCAAAATCTTAATGACATTCTTCACAGAAATAGAAAAAAAAAAACCCAAAGTTTATATGGAGCCACAATAAAACACCAGAAAGCCAAACCACTCGAGAGAAAAAATAATGAAACTGGAGGCATCACACTTCCTGATTAGCAATATATATTACACGGCTATGTTAATTAAAACAGTATAGGATACACAATTGGGAGAGAATAGTCTCTTTAATAAATGTTGTTGGGAAAACTGGATATACACACGCAAAAGAATGAAATTGGACCCTTAACTTACACCACACACAAAAAAATCAACTAAAAATGAATTAAAGACTTAAGTGTAAAACCTCAAATTAGAAATCTACAAGAAGAAAACAGTGAAAAAGCATCATGACATTAATCTTAGCAATGATTTTATGCACATGAAACCAAAAGCGTAGGCAAAAAAAGCAAAATAAACAATTGGGATATCATTAAACTAAAAGCTTCTGCATTGCAGAGGAAATTATCAACAGATTGAAAAGGCAACCTAAAGAATAGGAAAAAAAAATTTGCAAACAATATATCTGATAAGGGTTTAATTTCCAAAACATATAAGGAACTCCTACAACTCAACAGCAAAAAAAAGCTAATCACCCAATTTTTAAAATGGGTTAAAGACTTTTAACAGACGTTTATCCAAATAAGACATACAAATGACGAACAGGTTTATGACAAGATGCTCAAAGTCACTAATCATCAGAGAAATGCAAATCAAAACCACAATGATACTGCCTCAACCTGTCAGGATAGCTATCTTCAAAAAGACAAAAAATACTGGTGAAGATGTGGGGATGTTGCCACCCTTCTACACCATTGCTAGGAATGCCAAATGGTGCAGCTGCTATGGAACACATTATGGTCATTCCTCAAAAAGAAAATGAAAATATACGTGCGATATGATTTAGCAAACTAATTTTTAGTTAATTCTCTAAAAGAACTGAAATCAGAATGTTGAAGAGGCGTTAGTACTCCCATGTTCACTGCAGCACTAATCATGATGGTCCAGATGCAGTAACAATCCAAATGTCCATGGATGGTTGAGAAAATGTAAGACATATATATGTATGTGTATGTGTGTGTACACATACACACATGCATGGAATATTATTCAGCCTTCAAAACTAGAAAATTTTGTAATATGTGACAACATGTATAAATTCTGTGAACATGATGTTAAGGAAAACAAGCCGGGAATATGAAAACAGATTCTGCATGATTTCACTTATAGGAGATATTTAAAATAGTCAAACTCATAGAATCAGAGTGGAATGAATAGTGGTTGCCAGGAGCAGGGAGTAGGAGAAATGGAGAGTTGGGAGTTGTTAATAAACATACAGAAAGTCATACAAAATGAATAAATTCTAAAAGTCAGCTAAGCAACATTGTACCAATAGTTAACAAAACTATTTTGTGCTTAAAAATTTAACAGGATAGATCTCATGTTGTGTACTTACCACAGTAAAATGAATTTTGAAAAAAATGCAATATGTTCTAATTGGTTCATCTACTCTAAAAAATGTACCACACTAACGCCAGATGCTAAAAATAGAAAAATAATGTATGTGTGGGGGAGTTGGAGTATATAATAACTCTCTGTACTTTCTGTTCATTTTGTCTATAAACCTAAAACTGCTCTAAAAATAAAGTCTCAACACAACAAAATGTAAAACTGGAGGGCTTGTTCAAATACAGATTACTAGGCTTCGTCCTCAGAATTTCTGAATCAGTTGTTTCCGGGTAAGACTTCACACACTGTATTTCTAAGAAGCTCCAAGGTGATTTTAATGTTGCTGACTCTGGGATGGCATTTTGAGATGTCATGCTTTAGACAAACTTAATTCACTGAAAATTTTAAAGTAGCACTTTGACAATAAGAGAAAATTTTAGAGAGGTAAGTATGGCCACAACATGCAATATAAATAATGGGGTTTAATACTACAAGCTGAAATTTAAATTTAAATGTAATTGGTGAAATTAAGAGAGGTGGAATTAAGAAAAAATTAATTGGTAGAATTAAGGAAAGATAGTACAGTGGTCGATTCAATGGCATTTAACCAATCATTTGGATGTAGGAGTAAAGGAAATGGAAGGAAAAGTTAAGTAGGTTTCAGAGTGGGCATATCTGGGAGAATAATCCTGCCATAAATAGTAATAGAGAAGATATACGGAGAAACAACTGAAGAGGAAATAGTATGGATTTGGTTTTTATGTGCATAAGAGGGAAAGTATACATCTGCTAGTTTTTAACTTTTAATTGCAATCACTCACTAGAGATGACTTTTTCCTTATACAAATAAATTAACTATTGTCTTTTCAAAAACTTACATTTAATTTCTCTTTTAAAACTTTTAAAAGAATTAAAGTAGAAAGATAATAGCATGTCTAAACCTAGAAAATACATCTCATATTCCAGGACTTAACTAAGGCAGGTACTCATCCGTCCAGTATTAAATATCATAAAGGATTCAAAGTCCAAAACATTAATGGGAGTTTCTTTTCCAAATAATCTCCTTGACTAATTTTTTATAAAGTCATACTGGACCTTTATGATAGATGTAAAGAAAGAATTGTTTTTTAAATGCTTTATCTATGCTGGCCCATTTATAAAGTCATACTGGACCTTTATGATAGATGTAAAGAAAGCATTGTTTTTTAAATGCTTTATCTATGCTGGCCCATTTCCCCCCAAAATTGACTGCAAAATCCTACACGGCTTCCTTGGGAAGGACTATATTTAATTTTTTAGTTGGTGTTATTTTTGTTAAATCTGGCACAGTGCAGTGTTATGAACATAACTGTATCAGTATATATGGTTGGTTAAAATGAAAATGATTAAGAAGAACAGGCAGGAATCTCAATAATTATCTAGTGCTTGAAAACTGACACTAAACTTTTGACCTTCCATATTGTTCAATTCTCTAACTCATTTTCTTTAAATAATTGTATTTTCTCCCCTTTTTCATGATATGAACTCTGCTCAGTTTCTATCGGTTTCTATAAATTATCTATAAAACATGGAAATCAGTACAAAACTGTGTCTTAATGAAGGTCTGATTAATGTCCAGTGAGGGTTACAGATGGGCACCTATGTTAATAATTAAATTCAATTATCATTTTCTGTTTAGCCTAAGTGATTCAGTTTAGCTCTTTTTCTAATAATTAAAATCTGGCCTATATTTACCTGAGGTCTATATATATGAGATTACCATTGATGCTCAGTAATTTTCTTCCAGAAAAACAAACACCACCATGCATCTAAACAAATTTATTTGGAAGCGAATCTAATATTTCACAATTGTCTTGAGTGCTATAATATTCAATATAGGTTTACAGAAATTAACTTGACAATTGCAGCTACCTGCATAGTAAGAAAGAATGGATACTCCTGTTTTCATTATTTAGAGGAAACTGAAGGGCCACAAAATTTATTGTTTACCCAATTTCATAAAGCTAGTGACGGCTGTAAAACCAAAATTCCATAAGCTGGTACTCTTTGTGGCCTACTGTGCTGTCTCCACACATTGGGTAGTAATACGGGACTGTTAAATGTAGTAAGATGTTGGTAAAGGCTGGCTGCTTGTTTATGTCATTAAAGTTACTGAGTGTTGATTGGGTCAATTTGATTTATGTCTCACTTTAGTTTGGGTGCCCAAGGACTACTATAATGATTAATCGCAAGGATAAAGAACATGTTACTTTATTGTTGGTAAAATGCATTACACACAGTTTGTAATTCTTAAGACCTAGATCACTTTTCATGTCTCAAATGCCCTTACTTTCAGTTTTAATCACTTCACTTAAAGCTTTACCTACCTTGTGATTTTTTAAAATTCACCACTCTTGGGTGCATTTAAGTTATTTTTCTAATTAATTTATTAGAAATTTAAAAAATTGTTATTAGAATTTTAAAAATCTACCACCATGGGATCCCCTTTTAAAATTTTCCACAAAAATATAAATTTCTGACATCAGTGTCACACATAGCTCTACTATGTACTTTTTGTGATTGCCCATAACTTCTTTTATTGCCCACTAAAATGTATAAATGGATTAACATGAGAGTGATATCAAATTAAAATTCTGTAGAATGGATGCAGTCAACATTATATAATGCTAAGGGACTTGGATTTGCTGAATTTGCTGCATTTGCCACATTTAGCCTCTGGAGCTGTTTATTTCCAGTATTGATGAGCCGTAGGCAGGCCAATTGAAGAGAAAAACAAGGGAGACTTAGTACCCCTTCCCTATTTTTCTAATATATAATATAATGCGCAATCCCATCTGCCTTTTGAAATATAACATCAACGTTTTGTACTCTGAGCTTGATTCTCCAGCATTGTATTAGAAAGATTAGTGCAATGTGTAGGTTCACAGAAAATCAACCATACTCAATGATATAAGTGGCTGGGCCAGAAGCACTCAGTCCAAAAACCTGTACATAAAAGTCATTAGTGTGCTATAGAATAAAAATGCTAAACACATTAACACGATAAAGTAGGTAAAGATAGTTATTTCTTATTCTTCTCCTATGAGAAGATAACAGACATTCCTTAGATGCTATCATACATCCTAAGGAATTAAACTGAGAAATACATACACGACTGCAAAGTTAAGTGTGTGTGTTGGGGGGGGGGCATCAACAATGTGTTCATTTAAAGGTGGTAAATTTTCTATATGATGAAGGATCATAAAAAAACTCATTATGGTCAAGATAAGTATTCTGGGACATCTAGGGATAGTAAATGTGTCCACTCCACTATTTTTAATGGTAAGAATATGGGCATTTCACCAGTAATTATGTATCATTTATACAACCACCTTAGTCTGGTATTGAATCTAGATCTCTGATTTGTTAACATTTTCTTATACAGGAAGGCAATAAAAGGAGAGGCTCATCAAAATGCAAGAGTTCAGAACACAGCTAGTTTGGAATCACTGAGGTTCTAAAGTTTAGCCTCCACAGAGTATTTATGGAATTTAGATAACAGCTGTCTTCCTCAGCTGCCAGTGTATAATGACTTGAAATGAACAGGTATGAGTTTTCTGGAAGAGAAGATGCTTCTGAGATTCACTGAAGTATGTCTTTGACTAAGAAAAAATTTGCTGGAAAATACATTAAAAAATAAAAAGCTATGGACAAATAAAGCTACATTGTGGTAATTCATAATTGAATTGCTTAATTTGAAGAAATCAGTGTGAAACTAACAAACACCTATAATTTTTATCTTGGCATGTACAAATGGTTACATTCTGGTCAATGGTTTCTGTGTGCTTGGGGACTTTTGATTAGAATGAAAAATGGCATATGTCTAACATATCTACTCTTTTGGACAAGAAACTTATCTCCCCTGCTTCTTCTCTCCCCCTTGTGCTGAATTTGATATTTCTTTTTTTCCCTCCTCCCCTCGCCTCTCCTCTCCTCCCCTCCCCTCCCCTCTCCTCTCCTCCCCTCCTCTCCTTTCCCCTCTACTCCCCTCCTTCCTCTCTCCCTCCCTCCTCCCTTCCCTTTTCCCTTCCCTTCCTTTCCATCCATGCATAACTGAGAATAGGCTATGTTTGGCTGCAATAAGTAATAAACACTGATATCTCAGTGGTGTAATAAACATAAATTTAATTTTTCCTCATGGCACATGCCAATATGGGTTGGGTTGTTAATCTGGGTGGTATTGGTACTCAATGTGGTGATTTATGAAACCATGTTCCTTTTATAAGGTGACTAAACAGTTTAAAACACATGACCTCCAAGATTGCCACAGTACAGGGAAAAAAAGAATATAGATAAATTGTATGGGCAGTTTTATGGCCATACTTGAGAGTGACACTTGACCTTAACTGAGCTGTGAAAGAGGTTGGGAAATACAGTCTTATCAAGAAGATGAAACAAATACAATTTGGTGCAAACATACCATTTTCTCTAACACAGTATCTATTTACCCACAGATTTGATTTGCTTCTCTATATTATTTTGGCTCTATCAAACTAGCCAATAGTATATATTCTGTCTTTCTTGCTAACTTATTACCATGATGTGAAAATTAGTAACAAAGAGCTTAGCACTTTGTAGATGTATGTATGAACACGTGTATGAAAAATAGAGACTAAATATAAACATCCCAAATTCATTCTCATTCTAATCTTATATCTTCTGGGATTCCTAATTTGTGCTCTAGTCCCTGTTTTTAATAATAATGTATGAATTAATTACTAGGACATGGAAATATCACTTTTAGTACCTATGATCAAAGGTATCAGGACAAATAGATCATAATTCTCCTTTAGTTATGTTTCACTAATAATCCATAAAGAAAACTTCTAACCATGTTCTATTGTCTAGTAATCACCCACTTATCCACACAATTAAACATGTATCAAAACCACGATATTAAACAGATTCCTCAGTGTTTGAGGTCTTGAGTGGGTCATGTCTTACTAGAGGAAAGGTTTATAGGATCTGATAAATTGAAGAAATAAATATAATGGTATGGGAACAAAATTAGTATAAAGAACATGTGTAAACTCCAATAAGTTTGATTTAGAAGTCATGTAAAGAAGACAGAGATTACATGGACATAAGTACTTGGAAAATTTTAAGTGTGTGCCAATATTGTCTTGGTCATCAATATAACTAGAAAGAATGTATATGGTTGAAAGACAAAATGAGATAAAGAAGACTCAATTATGTCCAAAGATAAGCCAAGGACATGGGAAGAATCTGGACAAGTAAATTTTCTCAAAGAAGATTAAACTATGTATGTTTAGTTCCTGGTCACCATGGCTACAGCCTGGCATTATATTCATATTACAATTAAAAAATTCACATGCTGATGAGGTTAACAGTAAATAGGATGGTAGCCAATACTTTAGTCCCAACTGGGAGGGTTGTTTGGAGGAGGGTGAGATTTGAGAAACAGAAAACAATTGAAATCATAGGGGGATGGTCTTGAGCAAAAGGCAGTGTAGAAAGTCTGTATGTTTAGCATCTGTGTAAGTCCAGCAGACCTTTCTTTCTCTAATCTGGTAAATATTTAAATGAGTTAAATGTCATATTCATCACAGGTGCACAACCTTTCTACCTGCTGCATGGATATTATCCATATCAACTCCATTTTGAGATATATCCTAAACAGACATTTTACTATATTAATCACCTACACAAGAGCCACATTAGGCTACATCATCATCTTCACTGACCTGGACTACTGCAGAAATTAGAAGTTGTCTCTCTTTTTATGGCCCTACCCTCCTACACTCTTTTCTCTCTCCATCACCCAGAGAGCGTCTTTTAAAAGTTAAATCATGACATGGTACTTCTCTATTTAAAATTCTACAATGATTTATCTTCTCATTGTGAATAAAATTAAAAGCCTTTTACCATCTTAAAAGCTTCTACATGGTTCAGGTCGGGCGCGGTGGCTCACGCCTGTAATCCCAGCACTTTGGGAGGCTGAGGCCGGTGGATCACGAGGTCAGGAGATCAAGACCATCCTGGCTAACATGGTGAAAACCCGTCTCTACTAAAAATACAAAAAATCAGCCGGGCATGGTGGCGGGCGCCTGTAGTCCCAGCTACTCAGGAGGCTGAGGCAGAAGAATGGCGTGAATCCGGGAGGCGGAGCTTGCAGTGAGCCGAGATCGCGCCACTGCACTCCGGCCTGGGCGACAGAGCAAGACTCCGTCTCAAAAAAAAAGCAACCTTCGACATGGTTGAACATCTTGTTAACCTACCTGAAGATACTCTCTGCTTCTTTCACTGTATTCACACCATTCTGACCTAGTTGTGGTCTTCCTCAGACATACCAAAAATTTGCTTCTCTTTAGGTCTCATTTTACTTGTAATGTTCTTTCCTCAGATACTCATATAACTTACATTCTCATTTTATTATGGACTCTGATTAAATAACGTCAAATAAGCCACTTATGGCCATGCTATATAAAATAGTAACTCACCTCTGGTACTCTCCAATATGTTGTTATCCTGTTTTATTTTTGCTTTATCTTTTCAATAATCACCAATTGATACATTGCACATATTTTATAACATTTTTATTGGCTTTTACTGTGTAGAATATAAATTCTATGAAAATAGGAAGGTTAGTGTTTTATTTACCATTATATTCTTACGGCCCCAAACAGATATAGCACATTGAAGACATTCATAAATATCTGTCGTATATATACATGAATATAAAACTTAATGAATGATGGGAGAGGCAAAGCTTATTTTCCTGAAGTCATGGTGTTTAAATTATCTATTGTAACATAACAAACCACACCAAAACTTGGTGTATTAAAACAATCATTTTTTAATCTCATAAGTTAGTGTGTCAGAAATTCAAACAGAACCAATGGTGTCTACACAAGTCTCTAAATAGTATTTAGCTGATAGAAAAACTGGTCTACTGAAATGGCTTCATTCATGTATCTATTGCCTTGACACAGATGACTAGAAAGCTGGGCTCAGTGGATTCTCAATTCTGTCAGCTGGAACACATAGATATGGCCTACCCAGCAAGACAATGTCTGGGTATTCAGACTTCCCATATGGTGGCTCCAGGCTCCTAGAGAAAGTGCTCCAGTAAATAAGAACAAAGCTGTATGGCCTTTTACAAGCTAGCTTCAGAAGTAATATAGCATCACTTTTTAAATACTACACGGATGAAGCTTTGCAAATCAACCTAGATTTAACATGAGGGTATGCATACATCCAATTTCTCACTAAAATTGGTACTAAATAATTTGTGGTCATGTTTAAAAACCATTACAGATGGCTTCTGTAAATTGACTTAGATTAGGAGCAGTCTTTGTCACTTGATGCTTCAAGAGATTAGGCTTATTAAAAGTAGATAAAACTAGGTGGTCAGAAATGTACAAAAGTTAAATAATTTGCCACTGAGTTCTGAACTTTCTGAACTATCTCCTGAACTTTACATTTTCTGTGTGCCAATCTGTCCTATATCCTTAACCAATAAACTGACCTGGGCCATGTTAGGGGTATGGAGTGGTCTGGGGGAGTGTTAAATGGCAGGAAGCCTTACTAACGTTTCTAAGTCCAAGAAATACATTCTCATGCAGATTACCAGAGAAGTGCTATATTAGAAATTATGGGGTTGCTTTTAATAAGGTAGTACATTTTAAAACTTTGCCGTTGTATTTATTAGCACAACCATCATTATCAAAACCATCATTCTTGAACATTTAGCTGTGAGGAACTCTTATATAGGTGAGAGGTCAGTGGTAAGATTTGCCAATCACATTCCCACTCAAATGTTAGTAAGAAGTCAGAGTATCATAAAAAACAAAATAAACTAATTTTAATTTTAATCTGTATATGATAATAATTCATCAAAACTTACTTCTGACCACATGAATATTTTCCCTAGTAAAATTAGTTTTAATAAATAGTTGTATATTATCATTTTAAATACTCTAAATATTGAGTGTAAATACTGTTATATTATTATGATTTACATATTGTGAATATTATACATAAAAGCTTAGAATATTGATAACTTTATGTAAAATACAGTCTCACAATTATTAAAATATAAACCCATAATTAAAATATGTAAATAATATATAAATGTGAGGTAGCTTCTAGTTTCAGCTTTGCCACTGAATTGGGAATCTTCAACTCACTTTACTTTTTTGCTAAATCTTGTCATCTTTACGTGGAAATAATAATCTCTAGTGTCAAAATCCCCAGGGCAAAACATTTCAGAGCACTGTGCCATGTATATACAGCAGTTTAATAAATACTTCATGATGTTAAAGTATGTTAAGTTTTTTGGAAAAATGTACTAATGATAAATTTCCACTGTTGGTATCACCTTCGAGAGGACATTTAATATCTAATCTGAGAGAGTACATCAAGATAGCTGACTAGAGGCATTTTGTACTCACCTCCTCCACTAAGAATAAATGAAATAGTGAGCAGATAATCACATTTTGCATAGCTCATTCAAGACAGAACTCTAGAATTCAACAGAGAGGTGACAAGAAATACCTAAAGCAAGGAAGGAAGAAGTAGTGAGGCAGTCTACTCTGTTGGGACTGGCTAGAAGTGAAGAGAGACTCCTCAAAACAGGGAAAGGGGAAGTGAGAGACTATCAGTAGCCTACATTCTCTTCTGGCTGCCTACAATCCTAACCCTAAGAGAGCCCCTCGACCCTCGTGGGCCCTGAAACTAACATAGGGAGTTGCCAGAAGATCGTGCGATGGTACTGTTCCAGAGATAGAGCTAATGCTGGGTCCCACGCATTCCCTGAGTCATAAACAGGTACAGAAAGGCTCGATTTTAGAGCCCCATCCCCAACATATTGCACGCTATCCAGGAGCCCAGAGGCACTGGGGCTGAGGCACAAGAGAAGTGTGGGCTGGTGCTCCCAGGGCTGAGGTGTGAAGTGAAGTATAGGATACCACAACAAGTGCTGAGGTGTGATTGAGGTGTGGGCTACTGCACTTGGGGCTGAGGCACAAAACAGGCAATGTACTGCAGCAAAGTGTAAGGCATGAGCAGGGCCAGGGCTGAGCTGTGAGCGGCACATGCTTTCTACCTTCTGGCAGCATCGCCTTGCCCAGCAGCAGGGCAGAAATGTGGCTACTGCTGCCCCCCACATGAGAATTCCATCAGTGGCATTGCCCTGACCCTGCCTATCATGGCTGGTGCCCGCACACACCCCTGATGAGGGGCATGAGGACAAGCCTGGCTGACCCAGCTTCATCCCTACTCTTGGTCAGGGCACAGAATCCAGGGGCCAGAGGACTGCCCATCCCAGCCTACCACCATTGACACTGAAACACTCCTCTGGGGGCCTAAGATAAGACTTACCTACCCAGCTATTAACACCTTAACTGGCAGCTACCTGCATGTACTACCTGCAGGTCTGGGCAGTAGTCCACCCAACCCACTGCAACAACTGCTAACATGAGCACACACTGTTTGGCACCCAGAGGATCACTCCACAACTGCCACTGCCATTTTCCATGTCATGCCAGCTGCACAGGGGCCTGAGAATCTTCACACCTACCTAGGTCATTACTGCCAGTATCAGCATCCAAGTAAGCCACCTAGAGGCTGATCCACCTGGATCTGCTAGCAATGGTGCCAGTGTATGGCACCTTGGGCCCCAAATGGCCCAAAGACTGGCTTACCTGGTGTCACAGCCCCAGGGAAGCTTATCCACAGCCTCCATGAATAACTGTACTCTAAGCCACCAAGGAAATAACAGATACCACTGATACTGTTCACAGCTGAAGAAATCATAAAGAAAATACATGCTATTACATATACTCAGAATCAAAACCAAATTGCCTTACCCAGCCAACATAATAGATATATCTTCAGGAGAATGTTTCTCCCTACAAAAGCAAATATAAAAAATTAGAAAAAGGGACTGTTACACCAGATGCACAGACATCAACCTAAGAATATATGAAACATGAAAAAGCAAATAAAATAACACTTCCAAAGGAAAACAATTATTATTTAGTAACATTTACCAATCAAAAAGAAATTTATGAAATTCTGGAAAATAATTCAATTATTGATTCTAAATAGGCTCAATGAGATGCAAGAGAATTCTGAGAGACAACACAAAGAATCATAAAAATAATATAGGATATGAAGGAGATATGAATAGCTTACCAAAGAGGTAGCTTTCTAAAAAAAAAAAAAGAACCAAACAGATATTCTAGAACTGAAGAATTCATTGAATGAAAAATAAACTATATTACACAGCTTCAACAATAGACTAAATAAAGCAGAAGAATCTTATAACTTACAGAGATGTTCTGAAATAATCCAGTTAGATAAAAATTAATGTAAAATAATAAAAAAAATAAGCGAAGCCTTCATATCATAAAGGATACCATTAAGTGATCAAATATACAAATTATTGGTGGCCTATGAGGCAAAGAGAGAGCAAAAGAGTTAAAATAAATGTTTAACAAAATAACAGATGAAAACATCCCAAGGTTAGTGAGAGATTTAGAAATCCAGATACAGGAGCATCTGAGATTCTCAAACATACAACGCAAAAAGGTATTCTGCATAGCACATTACAGTCAAACTGAAGTCAAAGACAAAGACAATATTCTAAAAACATGAAGAGTAAGGCATCTAGACATCTGTACCTATATATGTACCCCTCATCAGACTAACAGCAGATTTCTCAGCAGAAACCTTATAGCCAAGAAAGAATTAGATGATATATTCAAAGCACTGAAAGAAAACAATTGTTAGCCAAGGATATTAAATCCAGCAAAATTATCCTTTATAAATGAAAGAGAAATAAAATCTTTCCCAGACAAGAAAAGTTGAGGGAGTTGATCACCACTAGGGTGGACCTACAAGAAATGCTAAAGGGAGTCCTAAACATGGAAAGGAAAGGAAGACATTTACTATAATGAGAACACATGAAAATATAAAACTGATTAGTAAATCAAACATACATAAGGAAGAGAAGGACTCAGTCAGTACCAGTACATAAAACCACCAAACTACAACAATATCAATAAGAGAGAAAGAAAGGAACAAAAAATAGATAAAATAATCAGAAAACAATTAACATTGTTACAGGAACAAAACTTCACCTATCATAATAAACTTGGCTGTAAATGGATTAAAGTATCTACTTAAAACAAATAGCCTTGTTGATTAGTTCCAAAAATGTATTAAAAAACACAAAAACATCAACCAACTACATAGTACGCATAAAAAAATACACTTTACACGTAAAGGCATATATAGACCGAAAGTAAAGGGATGGAAAAAGATCTTCCATGCAAATAGAAACCAAATGTGAGCAGAAGTAGCTATAATTATGTCAGAAGAAATAGACTTTAAGCCAAAAACATTTTTTTAAAAAGACAGTACTATATGACAACAGCAAATGATCTGAAGAAGAAATAAAAAGTAATCCCATTTACAATAGCTACAAATAAAATAAAATATCTAGGAATAAACTTAATGAAAGGAAAGAAATACTTCTATAATGAAAACTATAAAACACTGATTCAAGAAATCAAAGAAGACACAAAGAAATATAAAGATATTCCATTTTCACAAATTAGAAAATACAGTATCGTTAAAATGTACATACTACCCAAAGCAATGTACAGATTCAATGCAATCCCTATCAAAATACCGGGTGTGGTGCCACACACCTGTAATCTCAGCACTTTGGGAGGCTGAGGCAGGTGGATCACCTGAGGTCAGGAGTTTGAGACCAGTCTGGCCAACGTGGCAAAACTCCGTCTCTATTAAAAATACAAAAATTAGCCAGGTATGGTGGCAGGTGCCTGTAATTCCAGCTACACAGGAGGCTGAGGCAGGAGAATGCTTAAACCTGAGGGATGGAGGTTGCAGTGAGCCAAGAGTGCGCCACTGCACTCCAGCCTGGTGACAGAGTGAGATTCCATCTCCAAAGAAAGAAAGAAAAAAAAAATACCAGCGATGTTCTTCACAAAAATAGAAAAAAAAAAAATCTATTTTTTTTTTTTTTTTGAGACGGCGAGACGGAGGCTCACTCTGTTGCCCAGGCTGGAGTGCAGTGGCACGATCTCAGCTCACTGCAACCTCTGCCTCCTGGGTTCAAGTGATTCTCCTGCCTCAGCCTCCCAAGTATCTGGGACTACAGGTGTGCGACTACGCCCAGCTAATATTTGTATTTTTAGTAGAGACGGGGTTTCACCATGTTGGTCAGGATGGTCTCAATCTCTTGACCTTGTGATCCGCCCGCCTCAGCCTCCCAAAGTGCTGGGATTACAGGCATAAGCCACCGTGCCTGGCCAAAGAAACAATTTTAAAACTTACATGAAACCACAAAAGACCCAGAATAGCCAAAGCTATCCAGAGAAAAAAAGAACAAAACTAGAAAAATCACATTACCTGATTTAAATTATACTATAGAGGCATAGTAAACAAAATAGCATGGTACAGCCACAAAAACAGACACATAGACCAATGGAACAAAATTTAGATCCCATAAATAAAAACATACATACATAGTGAACTCATTTTCGACAAAGGTGGTAAGACATATATTGGGGAAAGGACAGTCTTCAATAAATGGTACTTGGAAAACTGGATACCCATATGCAGAAGAACAGAACTAGCCCACTATCTTTCTCTCTATATAAAAATCAAATAAAAATTGATTAAAAACTTAAATCTAAGGCCTCAAATTATGAAACTACTAAAGAAAATGTTGGATAAAGTCTCCATGAAATTGGTCTGGGGAAAGATTCATTGAGTAATACCCAAAAACCACAGGCAACCAAAGCAAAAATATATAAATAAGATCACATCAACTTAAAAGGCTTCTGCACAGCAAAGGAAGCAATTAACAAAGTGAAGAGACAACGCACAGAATGGGAGAAAATATTTGCAAACAATTCATCTGAGAAGAGATTAATAACCAGAATATACAAGGAGCATGAACAATTGTATAGAAAATATCTAATAATGTGATTTTAAAATGGGCAAAAGATATGAATAGATATTTTTCAAAACATGACGTTCAGATGGTAAACAGGTATCAGAACAGGTGATAACATCACTGGTCATCAGATAATGCAAATCAAAACTACAATGGGATATTATCTCACTTTAGTTAAAATGGCTTATATCCAAAAGACAGGCAATAACAAATGCTGGTGAGTATGTGGAGAAAAGGGAACCCTTGTACTCTGTTGGTAAGAATGTAAATTAGTACAACCATTATGGACCAGTTTGGAGGTTTCTCAAAAACTTAAAACAGAACCACCATATGATCCAGCAATCCCACTGCTAGGTATATATTCAAAAGAAAGGAAATCAGTATATAAAGACATATCTGCACTCCCACATTTATTGCAGCACTAGTTATTGTAGCACTATTCACTATAGGCAGGATTTGAAAGCAACCTGAGACCATCAACAGATTAATGAATAAAGAACATATGTGTACATATACACAATGGAGTACTATTCAGCCATAAAAAACGATTGAGAACCTGTCATTTGCAACAACATGTATGCAACTGGAGGACATTATGTTACATGAAATAAGCCAGGCTCAAAAAGGCAAACAAAACATGTTTTCACTCATTTATAGGAGTTAAAATTAAAACAATTGAACCCATGGAGATACAGGTAAAATGATGGTTATGAGTTTGGGCAGGGTAATGTGAGTAGAGGGAAGTAGAGATTGTTCATGTATTAAAAAAATATAGTTTGACAGAATGAATAAGAACTAGTATTTGATTGCACAACAGAGTAACTACAGTTGCCAATCATTTATTGTACAATTTAAAGTAACTAAAAGAGTATTATTGGATTGTTTGTAACAGAAAGAAGGGATAAATAATTGAAGTGATGGATGCCCCTTTTACTAGGATGTGATTATTATGCAGTATTGCCTGTATGAAAATATCCCAGATACCCCAATACTATATATACATACATAGCATCTACCCACAAAAAGTATTAATCCTGCAACAGGATACATTACCCAATAATAGGGCACCCAGATTCATAATTCAAATATTACATCTTTAGCGAGAGATAGATTTCAATGCAATAATTGTGGGGGACTTCAACACCACAATCTTGGCAGGAGACAGATAATCTACACAGAAAATCAACAAGAAAAATGAGATTTGAACTAGGCTTTAGACCAAACGGACCTACAAAGCACTTACAGAACATTAAACCCAATGACTATAGAATACACTTTCTTCTACAGCCCATGCAACATTCTCCAGGATAAACTCTATGTTAGGCCACAAATAAAGACTCAAAAATGTTTCCAATTCAGTACCTTCTCAGATAACGAAGAAATAAAAGTAGAAACAAAAAAGCAGAGGAATGTTTTACAAATTTGTATACAATTTACATACAAATTTGTATACAATTACAAATTTGTGTATAATTTGTATACAATTGTGTACAAATTGTATACAATTACAAATTTGTGTACAAATACAATTACAAATTTGTGTACAATTTACATACAAATTTGTATACAATTTACATACAAATACATACAATACAAATTAAATACAAATACATACAAATTAAACAGCATGCTCCTGAATGACCAATAGGTCAAAGAAAAAATTAAGACAAAAATAAAAATAGTTCTTGAAACAAATGAAAATGGAAAAACAACATACTAAAACCTGTGGATTACAGGAAAAAAAGTACTTAGAGCAAAGTTTATAATAATAAAAACCTACATCAGAAAGTAAAAAGATTTGAAATAAATAATCTAATAATACATCTCCAGGAACTAGAAAAGCAAGAACAAACCAAATCCCAATTTACGAGAAGAAAAGAAATAATAAATATCAGAACAGGACTGGACAAAATAGAGACTAAAAACAAAAAAAGAATGAATGAAAGGGAAAGTTAATTTTTCAAAAAATAAAGAAAATAAATCACTAACTAGACTAACAAAGACAAGAAAAGATCTAAATAACCAAAATCTGAACTGAAAAATGAGACATTTTACCACTAATACCACAAAAAAGATTACCAGAGACTATTAGGGACAACTATATATTAACAAACTGGAAAACCCAGAGGAAACAGATAAATTCCTAAAAACATACAACCTATCAGAATTGAATACGGAAGAAATAGAAAACCTTAATAGACCAACAATTAGTAATGAGATTGAAGCAGTAATAAAAAGCCTTCCATTAAAAAAAAAAAAAAAAAGCCCAGGAGTGGGTGGCTCCACTGCTGATTTCTATCAAATGCATGAAAATTAATATGAATCTTCCTAAAATTATTCCAAAAAATGAAAGAGGGAGAAACTCTCCCTATCTCATTTTATGAGGCCAGCATTACCCCGATACTAAAACCAGATACGGACACACACAAAGTAGAAAACTACAGGGCAATATCCATGATGAACACCGATGCAAAAATCCTCAACAAAATTCTAGCAAACTGAATTAAACAGCACTTCAAAAACATAATACACTATGATCAAGTAGTATTTATATCAGGGATGTAAAGATGGTTTAACATCTACACATCAAGGAACATAATACATAATATCAAGAGAATGAAGGACAAAAACTATATGATCATTTCAATCGACACAGAAAAAGCCTTTGGGAAAATTCAATATCCCTTGTTGACAAAAACTCTCAACACACTAAGCATAAAAGGATTATATCTTCAATTCATTTGTCCATATGTGACAAACACACAGTCAACAACACACTGAATAGGAAAAATGTGAAAGTCTTTTCTTTAAGAACTGGAGCTACAGAAGGATGCCAACTTTAACTGCTCCTATTTGGCATGGTAGTAGAGGTCCCATCCAGTGCAAACAAGCAAGAAAAATAAAAGAGACCCAAATTGTAAATGAGGAATGCAAATTGTTCATCTTTGTAGATGACATGATCTTATATATTTGGAAAAATCAAAAGACTGCACCAAAAATCTCTGAGCTGATAAGCAAATTCAGTAGAGTTGTAGAATACAAAATCAACATACAAAAATCACAAGTGTTTCTATAATGTAATAATAAATAGCCAAAAAAGAAATCAAGATGACAGTTCCCTTTATAATAGTGACACACAGAATAAAACACCTAGGAATAAATTTAACTAAGAAGGAGAAAGCTCTCTAAAAGCAAAACTGAAAAATGCTGATGAAAGAAATTGACAAGGACAAAAATAAATGTAAAGACTCATCTCGCTCATAGATCGGAAAAATTAATTTCATTACAATAATTATACTGCCCAAAGCAACATACAGATTTAATACAATTCCTATTAAAAATGTCATCATTTAAACAATTTTTAAGCCCTAAAATTCATAAGAAACTAAAAAAAATGTCTGTGTAGGCAAAGCAATCTTCAGCAAAAAGAACATAAGCTGGAGGCATCACACTACCTGATGTAAAAATAGATTACAAGCCTATAGTAACCAAAACATCACGGTATTGGTATAAAAATAGACACATAGAACAATGAAAGTGAATACAGAACCCAGAAACAAATCCACCAACTTACAGCCAGCTGATTTTAGACAAAGGTGCCAAAGATTTCCTTTCCCACTGGGGAAAGAATACGCTCCTCAATAAATGATGCTGGGAAAATTAGATATCCATATGCAGAAGAATGAAACTGGAACTCTCTGACATTATAAACAAAAATCAACTCAAGATAAATTATTAAACTTAAGAACCAAAACTATTAAATTACCAGAAGGAAACATACATAAAATACTTCAGGACATTGGTCTAGGCAAAGATTTGCTGGCTAAGACCTTAATAGACAAATAGTATTATACTAAAGTAAAACACTTCAGCACAGCAAAGAAAACAATGCAGAGAGTGAAGAAACAACCTACAGAATGGAAGAAAATATTTGCAAACTATTCATCCAAACTATTAAGACAGAATGGAAGAAATATTTGCAAACTATTCATCAAACTATTAAGACACTAATATCTGGAATATACAAGGAACTCAAACAACTCAACAAATAAATAAACCAATCATTCCATTAAAGGGTGCGCAGGGCCGGGAGTGGTGGCTCACACCTGTAATCCCAGCACTTTGGGTGGCCAAGGCAGGTGGATCACCTGAGGTCAGCAGTTCAAGCCCAGCCTGGCCAACATAGTGAAACCCTGTCTCTACAAAAAAAAAAAAGAAAAAAAAATTAGCTGAACATGGTGGTGTGCACCTGTAATCCCAGGTACTTGGGAGGCTGAGGCAGGAGAATATCTTGAACCCAGGAGATAGGGGTTGCAGTGAGCCAAGATCATGCCACTGCACTCCAGCCTAGGCCACAGAGTGAGACTTCATCTCAGAAAATAATAATAAAAAAAATAAAAAGTGGGCAGAAGACATGAAAAAGCAATTGGCAAAGAAGACATACAGATGGCCAACAATTATATATTTAAAAATGCTCGGCTGGGCGCGGTGGCTCACGCCTGTAATCCCAGCACTTTGGGAGGCCGAGGCGGGTGGATCACGAGGTCAGGAGTACACAACCAGCTTGGTCAATATGGTGAAACCCTGTCTCTACTAAAAATACAAAAATTAGCTGGGTGTGGTGGCGTGCACCTGTAGCCACAGCTACTCAGGAGGCTGAGGCAGAAGAATTGCTTGAACCCAAGAGGCAGAGGTTGCAGGGAGCCGAGATTGTGCCACTGCACTCCAGCCTGGGCAACAGAGCGAGACTCCGTATCAAAAAAAAAAATGCTCATTATCACTAATCATAAGGGAAATGAATATCAAAACCACATGCAGGTATCATCTTACCCAAGCTAAAATGGCTACTACAAAGAATATCAACACGATGATGTTTTGGTTACTGTAGTCTTGTGGTATAGTTTGAAGTCAGGTAATGTGATACCTTCAGCTTTGAATTTTTTTCTGAGTATTTATTCTTTATTTTATGTTCCAAGGTACATGTGCAGGCTTGTTACATAGATAAACCTGTGCCATGGTAGTCTGCTGCACCTATCAACCCATCACCTAAGTATTAAGCCCAGCATACATTAGCTATTTTTCCTGATGCTCTTCCTCCCCTGCCACACCCCTCCAACAGGCCCGCATGTGTTGTTCTCCTCCTTGTGTCCATGTGTTCTCATTGTTCAGCTCCCACTTATGAGCGACAACATGTGGTGTTTGGTTTTCTGCTCCTGTGTTAGTTTGCTAAGGATAATAGCTTCCAGCTCCATCTATGTCCCTGCAAAGGACAGGATCTCATTCCTTTTTATGGCTGTGTAGTATTCCATGGTGGATTTGTACCACATTTTCTTTATCCAGTCTGTCATTGATGGCCATTTGGGTTGATTCCATGTCTTTGCTATTGTGAACAGTGCTGCAAAGAACATACATGTGCATGTATCTTTATAATAGAATTATTTATATTCCTTTGGGTATATACCCTTTAATGGAATTGCTGGGTCAAATGGAATTTCTGGTTCTAGGTCTTTGAGGAATCACCACACTGTCTTCCACAATGGTTGAACTAATTTACATTCCCAATAGCAGTGTAAAAGCATTCCTATCTCTCTGCAGCCTCACCAATATCTGTTGTTTCTTGACTTTTTAATAATCGCCATTCTGACTGGCATGAGATGGTATCTCATTGTGGTTTTAATTTGCATTTCTCTAATGATCATATGTTTGTTGGCAACATAAATGTCTTCTTTTGATAAGTTCCTGTTCATGTTCTTTGCTCACTTTTTAGGGTTTTTTTTTTTTTCTTGCAAATTTGTTTAAGTTCCTTGTAGGCTCTGGATATTAGACATTTGTCAGATGGATAGGTTGCAAAAATTTTCTCCCATTCTGTTGGCTCTGTGTTCACTCTGATGACAGTTTCTTTTACTGTGCAGAAGCTCTTTAGTTTAATTAGATTCTGTTTGTCAATTTTTGCTTTTGTTGTAATTGCTTTTGATGTTTTTGTCATGAAATCTTTGCCCATGCCTATGTCCTGAATGGTAATGCCTAGATTTTCTTCTAGGGTTTTTATAGTTTTGGGTTTTGCACTTAAGTTTTTTTTTCAGCTTGAGTTAGTTTTTGTATAAAGTGTAAGAAATGGATTCACTTTCAATTTTCTGCATATCAGTTTTGCTCTTTTTGCCTTGGAGATTTGGCCTCTTTTTGGGTTCCATATTTATTTTAATATAGTCATTTTTTCTAATTGTGTGAAGAATATTATTGGTAGACTGATAGCATTGAATATGCAAATAGGTTTTTGCAATATGGCCATTTTAACATACTGATTCTTCCTATCCAATGGAAGAGAATAGAGTGCCAAAAAATAATGCTGGACACCCACAAGAAGCCGCTCTTCAACAAAATCTACAAAAACAAGCAATACAGAAAGGACTTTCTATTTAATAAATGGTGCTGGGATAACTGGTTAGTTATATGCAGAAGATTTTAACCGGACTCTTTGCTTATGCCATATACAAAAATCAACTAAAAATGGATTAAAGACTTACATGTAAAACTTAAAACTATAAAAATCCCTAGAAGATAACCTAGAAAATGCCATTCTGGACATAGGCCTTGGGAAAGATTTCATGATGATGATGCCAAAAGCAACTGCAATAGAATAAAAAGGAACAAATTAGACCTAATTAAACTAAAGACCTTCTGCACATCAAAACCATCTATCAACACAGTAATCAGGCAACCTACAGAATGGGAGAAAATATTTAAAAAGTATGCATCTGGCAAAGGTTTAATATCCAGAATCTCTAAGGAACATAAACAAATCAACAAGCAAAAAACACTGCCATTAAAAAATGGGCAAAGACATGAATAGACACTTCTCAAAAGAAGACATAAACGTGGCCAACAAGCATATGAAAAAAATGCTTCAACATCACTAATCATTAAATAAATGCAAATTAAAACCAAAATCCGATACTATCACACACCAGTCGTAATAGCTATTATTAAAAAGTCAAAAAATACCAGATGCTAGGAAGGTTGCAGAAAAAAAGAAATGTCTGCACACTGCTGGTGGGAATGTAAATTAGTTAAGCCCCTGTGGAAGGCTCTTTGGAGATTTCTCAAAGAATTTAAAAACAGAATTACCATTTGACCCAGAAATCCCATTATTGGGTATATCCAAAGAAATATAAATAACTCTACCATAAAGACACATGCATGCTTTTGTTCATTGCAGCAGCACTCACAATAGCAAAGACATGAAATCACCCTAAATGTTCATCATGAGAATAATGAAGAAAATATGATATATTAAACTAGAAAATCTAGCAGAAATAGATGAATTCTGAGACACATACACCCTCCCATGGCTGAACCAGAAAGAAACTGAATCCCTGACAGACCAATAAAGAGTTCTGAAATTGAAGCGGCAATAAATAGCCTATCAACCAAAAAAAGCCCAGGACCAGATGGATTCACAGCTGAATTCTACCAGATGTAAAAGAAGAACTGGTACCATTTCTACTGAAACTATTAAAAAAAAAAAAAAAAACTGAGGAGGAAGGACTCCTCCCTATATCATTCTATGAAGCCAGCATTATTATGATACCAAAACCTGGCAGAGATGCAACAACAACAACAAAAACTTCAGGTCAATATCCTTCATGAACATCAAAGCAAAAATCCTCAATAAAATGATGGTAAACTGAATCCAGCAGCACAACAAAAAGTGTATTTGCCATGATCAAATAGGCTTCATCCCTGGTATGCAAGGTTGGTTCAACATACGCAAATCAATAAATGTGATTCATCACATAAATGGAACTAAAGACAAAAACCACATGATTATTTCAATAAATGTAGAAAAGGTGTTTGATAAAATTAAACATTCCTTCATTTTAAAAATGCTCAATATACTAGGTATTGAAGGAACATACTTCCAAATAATAAGAGCCATATATGACAAACCCATAGCCAACATCATAATGAATGGGCAAAACCTGGAAGCATTCCCCTTGAAAAGCAGCACAAGAGAAGGATAGCCTATCTCATCATGTCTATTCAATAAAGTATTAGAAGTTTTGGCCAGGGCAATCAGGCAAGAGAAAGAAATAAAGGGTATCCAAATAGGAAGAGAATAAATCAAACTATCCCTGTTTGCAGATGACATGACCCTATATCTAGAATACCCCATCATCTCAGCCCAAAAGCTTCTTAAGCTGATAAACAACTTCAGAAAAATCTCAGGATACAAACTCAATGTGTAAAAATTACTCACACTTCTATATGCCAACAACAGTCAAGCGGAGAGCCAAACCATAAGCAAACTCTCATTCGCAATTGCCACAAAAAGAATAAAATACCTAGGAATACAGATAACTAGGGAGGTGAAAGATCTCTACAAGGAGAACTACAAACTAGTACTCAAAGAAATCAGAGATGACACAAACAAATGGAAAATAATTCCATGCTCATAAGTGGAAAGAATCAATATCGTTAAAATGGCCATACTGCCCAAAAGAATTTATAGATTCAATAGTGTTCTCATTAAACTACAGGTGACTTTCTTCACAGAACTAGAAAAAAACTACTCTAAAATACATATGGAACCAAAACAGAGTCCATGTAGCCAAAAAATCCTACACAAAAAGAACAAAGCTGGAGGCATCACAGTACCCAACTTCAAACAATACTACAGGTCTGCAGTAACCAAAATAGCATGGTACTGTTACAAGAAAAGATACACTGACCAATGGAACAGAATAGAGAACATAGAAATAAGACCACACACCTTCAACTATCTGATCTTCAGCAAACCTAACAAAAACAAGCAATGAGGAAAGGATTCCCTATTCAATACATGGTGCTGGGATAACAGGCTAGCCATATGCACAAGATTGAAACTGAACCCCTTCCTTATACCACGTACAAAATTTAACTCAAGATGGATTAAATACTTAAATGTAAAACCCAACACTATAAAAATCCTAGAAGGCAATCTAGGCAATACCATTCAGGACATAGGCACAGGTAAAGATTTCATGATGAAGACGCCAAAAGCAATTGCAACAAAAGTAAAAATTGACAAATGGAATAAAACTAAACTAAGCTTCTGCACAGCAAAAGAAAGTATCAACAAAGTAAACAATCCACAGAATAGGAGAAAATTTTTGCAAACTATGCATCTGACAAAGGTCTAATATCCAACATTTATAAGGAACAAATTTACAAAACAACAACTGCAATAAAAAGTGGACAAATGACGTAAAAAGACACTTATCAAAGAAGACATACATGCAGCCAACAAACATGAAAAAAGCTCAACATCACTTATCACTAAAAAAAAAATGCAAACCAAAATCACAATGAGATACCATTTAACCCCAGTCAGAATGGCTATTATTAAATAGTCAAAAAATAAGAGATGCTGATGAGGTTGTGTAGAAAAAGGAATGCATATACACTGTTGGTAGGAGTATAAATTAAGTCAGTCATTGTAGAAAGCAGTGTGGTGATTCCTCAAAGACCTAAACACAGAAATACTATTTGACCCAGCATTCCCATTGCTGGGTATATACCCAAAGGAATATAAATCCTTCTGTTAAAAAGACACATACACACATGTTCATTGCAGCACTATTCACAATAGCAAAGACATGGCATCAACCCAAATGGCCATCAATGATAGACTAGATAAAGGAAATGTGGTACATATACATGATGGAATTCTGTGAAGCCATAAAAATAGAATGAGATGATGTTCTTTGCAGGGACATGAATGGAGCTGGAGGCCATTACTCTCAGCAAACTAATGCAGGAACAGAAAACCAAATACTGCATCTTCTCACTTATAAATAGAAATTAACTGATGAGAACACATGGACACATAGAGGGGAACAACATACTCTGGGGCCTTTCAGAGGGTGGAGGGTGGGAGGAGGGAGGGAGAGGATCAGGCTAAGCAAGTTGGATTGGTTGAGCCCAGGAGATGAGACCAGTCTGGGCAACATAGCAAAACTCTGTCTCTGCAAAAAAAAATACTGAAAAATTAGCCAGGCATGGTTATGCATATCTGTAGTCCCAGCTATCCAGGAGGCTGAGGTGGGAGGATCACCTGAGCCTGAAGAAGTCGAGGCTGCAGTAAACTGTGATTGCTCTACTGCACTCCAGCCTGGCTGACAGTGAGATCCTAAATCATAAACAAACAAACATTGAGTACATATGAACACAAAAAAGGCAACAACAGACACCAGGGCCTACTTGAGGATGGAGGGTGGGAGAGGGTCAGGATAAAAAAACTACCACTGGTACTATGCTTAATACCTGACAGACAAAATAATCTATAAACCAAACCCCTGTGGCATGCAATTACCTATTTAACAAACTTGCAAATGTACTCTTGAACCTGAGAAACAAGTTTTAAAAGAAGAAAAAAAAATGATGCTGGATATGATGAGTACAAAAGGGAACTCTTGTGCACTGTTGATGGGAATGTAAATGAATATGTCTACTGTGGAAAACAGTATACAGATTTCTAGAAGAAAAAAAAAAGAATTACTGCATGATCCAGCAATCCCACTACTGGCTGTCTCTCCAAAGAAAAGGAAATCAGTATGTCAACATGATACATGCATCCTCATGTTATAGCAGACTAGGGTGACTGGAGTTAAGAACTATAGGGAGTGCTAAATATGGAAAGATCATTATCAGCCACCATAAAACACACTTAAGTACATAGATCAGTGATAATATAAAGCAGCCAAACAAACAATTCTGTTTGTTAATAACAAGTAACCAGTTAACAACATGACAGGATCAAATTTGCAAATATCCATATTAACCTTGAATGTAAATGGGTTAAATGCCCCAATTAAAAGACACAGAGTGGTAAGTTGAATAAAGAAGCAAAACCAATGGTATGCTGTCGTTAAGAGATCCATCACACATGCAATGACACTCATAGTCTCAAAGTAAGGGGATGAAGAAAAATCTACCAAACAAACCAAATACATAAAAAGGCAGGGGTTGCTATTCTAATTTCACACACAAAAAAACAGACTTTAAATCAACAAAGATCAAAAAAGACAAAGAAGGGTACTACATAATGGTAAAGGGTTGAATTCAACATGACAACATAACTATACTAAATATATAGGCACCCAACATAGGAGAACACAGATTCATAAAGCAAGTTCTTAGAGATCTGTGAAGAGGCTTAGATAACCAAACAATATAAGTGGGAGATTTTAATACCCCACTGACAATATTAGACAGATCACTGACACAGAAAACTAGCAAAGATGTTTGAAGCCTTAACTCAGCACTTGAACAAATGGACCTAATAGACATGTACAGAACTCTCCACCTATAAAAAAACAGAATATACATTGTTATCTGCACATGACATATACTCTAAAATCAACCAATCAGGCATAAAATGATCCTCAGCAAATGTGAAAAATCCAAAATCATACCAACAATGCTCTCAGACCACAATGCAATAAAAATAGAAATTAATGCTAAGAAAATCACTCAAAACCATATAATGACATGGAAATTAGACAATTTGCTCCCAATATTTATGACTTCCCGATAAATAATTAAATTAAGGCAGAAATCCAGAAATTATTTGAAACTAATGAGAAAAAAGATACAACATACCAGAATCTCTGGGACACAGCCAAAGCAGTGTTAAGAGGGAAGTTTATAGCACTAAACACCCACATCTAAAACTTAGAAAGATCTCAAATCAACAATTTAAAAGCACAATTAGAAAAACTACAGAAACAAGAGCAAAACAATCCCAAGGCTAGCATAAGACAAGAAATAACCAAAATCAGAACTGAACTAGTAAAAAACCATATAAAAGATAAATGAATTCAGTAGCTGGTTACTTGAAAGAACTAATAAAATAGACCATTAGCTAGCCTAATAAAGAAAAATAGAGAGAAGATCCAAATAAACAAAATCAGAAATGACAAAGCGAACATTAACACCAACCCAACAGAAATATAAGAAAGCCTTAGAGACTACTGCAAACATCTCTATGCACACAAGCTAGAAAACCTAGAAGAAACTGATAAACCTCTGGAAATACGCAAACTCCCAAGAATGAACCAGGAAGAGATTGAATCCCAGAACAGATCAACTATGATTTCTTAAAAAGAATCAGTCATAAAAAGCCTACCAACCAGAAAAGGCCCAGAACCAGAAAAATTTGTCGTCAAATTCTACGAGATGTATAAGGTAAAGCTGGTACCATTCCTACTGACACTATTCCGAAAAATAAGAGGGAGTCCTCCCCAAATCTTTCTGTGAGGCTAGCATCATCCTGATTCCAAAACCTGGCAGAGGCACAACAAAGAAAGAAACTTCAGGCCAATATCCTTGATGAACATCGATGCAAAAATCCTCAACAAAATACTGGCAAAGCGAATCCAGCAGCATATTAAAAAGCTAATCCACGAAGTACAAGTAAGCTTTATCCCTGGGATGCAATGAAGGTTCAGCATATGCAAATCAATAAATGTGACAAACCATATAAAGTGAACTAAAAAGCAAACAAACAAACAAAAACCCTGTATGATCATCTCAATAAACACAGAAAAGGCTTTTGAAAAAATTCAACATCTTTTCATGTTAAAAACCTTCAACAAACTAGGCACTGAAGGAACATACCTCAAAGTAACAAGATCAATCTATGAAAAATCCACAGCCAATATCACATTGAATGGTCAAAAGCTGCAAGTATTCCCCTTGAAAACCAGCAGAAGACAAAGATGCCATCCCTCACAAGGATGCCCTCTCTCTTGGAAGTCCTAGCCAGAGCAATTAGGCAAGAGAAAAAAATAAAAGGTATTCACATAGGAGGATGAGAAGTCAAAATATCTCTGTAGATGACATGATTCTATATGTAGAAAACACCATAGTCTCTGCCCACAAGCTGCTTGATCTGATAAACAACTTTAGAAATTTTCATGATATAAAATCAATGTACAAAAATCAGTAGCATTCCTATACATCAAGAACACCCAACCTGAAAGCCAAATCAAGAATGCAATCCCATTCACAATAGCCACAAAAGAATAAAATACCTAGAAATACAGCTAATCATGGAGGTGAAAATCTCCACACAGAGAATCACAAAACACTGCTCAAAGAAATCGGAAGTGACACAAACAAATGGAGAAACATTACATGGTCATAGATAGGAAGAATCAATATTGTTAAAATGTCCATACCACCCAAAGCAATGTACAGATTTAATGCTATTCTTATAAAACTACCAATGACATTCTTCACCAAATTATTAAAAATACTATTTGAAATTTCATATGCAACCGAAAAAAGAGCCTGAATAGCCAAGGCAATCCTAAGCATAAAGAACAAAGCTGGAAGCATCACATTACCTGAATTCAAACTATACTACAAGGCTACAGTAACCAAAACTGCAATCAAATCCCTTCTCATCTCCTTGTCTTCCCCAAATAAATAGATCAGATAAAGCTACATAGAATGCCATGAGTGGCCAGGCGCAGTGGCTCACACCTGTAATCACGCCAGCACTTTGGGAGGCCGAGGTGGGCGGATCACGAGGTCAGAAGATCAAGACCATCCTGCTGACATGGTGAAACCCTGTCTCTACTAAAAATACAAAAAAAAAAAAAAAAATTAGCCAGTGTGGTGGCGGGCACCTGTAGTCCCAGCTACTCAGGAGGCTGAGGCAGGAGAATGGCGTGAACCTGGGAGGCAGAGCTTGCAATGAGCCAAGTTCGCGCCACTGCACTCCATCCCGCCTGGGCGACGGAGCAAGATTCCTTCTCAAAAAAAAAAAAAAAAAAAAAAAAGAATGCCATGAGTATAACCACCATTTCACATAAAGCAAACTTTAAATCCATATAGAGCCAATAATCATTTCTCAAAAGGAAACATGATCCCTGCCTATACAACCTTGGAAAAACCACAGCATCTGAAATCTCCCTATTTCTGAGGAGGGTGTGGATCTCACATTTATGAAATTAAAAGATTTTTTCAAATGTTCATTTTATTTCCCAAAACAATAGAACAATGAGGCTTCAATTCTTGTGACTGGAAAAACTTGTTGCAGCTTTGAAATGGCAGTTTTTTTATCTTCTACTGAAAAAGGTTTAAGAAAAGAATACCATAAAGCTTTACAGCAGAATTTCACATGCTGGAAAGTAGAGATATTAACTCTTTGCTGTTATCTAAAAAATAATAGGGTTTAGGTTACATATGTGGTCTAAAATGTGCTTTTAATGAATCAGAAAATATAGATTTTTTTTAACACCCATGGTTTAAGACAAGTGATTTTAGTAGTCCGTTTATGTGAGATCTTTTGCAATTGTTGGTTTTGTTCTCTATGGTCCCTTTGATCCACCTAGACCTACTGGGGATGGATTCAGGTATTCACAAGTAAGGTACAGTAGGTCCTATTGAGGTAGATTAGTTAATATTCTTCTGGGTTGTTGTCTATTGTTACCAACTCCTCTCGCCAGTCACATTTACACTCTACTATTTTTAAACTCCTCTTGTATAACTTTTACAAATTACAACGTAAGAGGAAATTGCAGTAACCATAGATACACAGAAGGACATATACATTATTCATATGCACAGTTATTCAGCCCACTGATGGTGCATGTTTGGAATTAATATTTGAGATTTCCCTGATTAATTGTCCCTAATAGAGCGATAAATACACATTTTCACATGGGGATAAAAATTTAAAGAACTTCTGGAGCCAAGATAGTTATTACATCTTGATTCACATATATCCAAATAACAATTTGAAAATAAAGTCCTTCAAAATTTCCTTGCAGCACAATGTGAATGACCCTTACCATGAGGCTATTTGAACAACAGTTAAGCACAGATTTACAAGTTGCATAAATGATATCAATATAAATAATATAAATAACTGCCTGAATATTTGCACATTGGAAAAATCAATCAACTAGGTGTTTTCTTATTTTTATCTCAATATTTGATGTGTGAAGAAGTTAATAAAAATTTTTCTACTACTCCTCTGCAGAAAGCAACCATTACTGTATATAAGTTGTTTTTACAAATTATGTGTTATAACGCATTAGTTGATGATAAAATCAATTTAGTAGTATATAGTCAGTATTTATAAAAATGAGATAGAATAAGATAAGACATAATAGAAGAGGAAATACTAGCATGCCCAACAAAGAAAAGGGTGATCATTGCTTCAGGAGACTTTAATTCATTTTTCACATATGTGTGTAAGTTTGTGTGTTGTATGTGTAAGTACAAATAAAATGTATTTCCTATGGTAGGTGATAGTCAGAAACACTTGAAGGTATCTATGAGTTCATTATAGTATCTTGCAAAATCCCAAAGCATAGTATTATAATTAGTCCTTTATGAAAAAACATATCAATCATTCATTGATTTCCCATTTTGATTAGTAGCAATTTTCTGAATTACAATATTATCCCATTCATTTTAATTTTAATTTTTTATTATTTTTTTAACTTTTAAGTTCAGGGGTACATGTGAAGGTTTGTTATATAGTTAAACTTGTGACATGGGAGTTTGTCATACAGATTATTTCATCACCCTGGTATTAAGCCCAGTACCCATTAGTTGTTTTCCCTGATCCTCTCCCTCTTCCCACCCTCCACCCTGAGAAAGGCCCCAGAGTGTGTTGTTGCCCTTTGTGTGCCCATGTGTTCTTATCATTTAGCTCCTACTTATAAGTGAGAACATGCAATGTTTGTTTTTTTTTGTTTCTGTGTTAGTTTGGTGAGGACAATGGCCTCCAACTTCATCCATGTCCCTGCAAAGGACAGTATCTCATTCTTTTTTACAGCTGCATGGTATTCCGTGTTGTACATGTACCGCATTTTCTTTTTCTAGTCTAACATTGATGGGCATTTAGGTTGATTTCATGTCTTTGTTATTGTGAATAATTCTGCAATGAACATATACATACATGTGTCTTTATAATAGAATAATTTGTAATCTTTTAGGTATATATATCCCATAATGGGATAGCTGGATCGAATGGTATATCTATTTTTAGGTCTTTGAGGAACTGCTACACTGTCTTCCACAATGGTTAAATTAATTTACACTCCCACCAACAGTGTATAAGCATTCCTTTTTCTCCACAACCTTGCCAGAATCTGTTATTTTTTGACCTTTTAATAATAGCCATTCTGACTGGTGTACAATGGCATCTCATTGTGGTTTTGATTTGCATTTCTCTAATGATCACTGGTGTTGAGCATCATGCTACCTGACTGCAAACTATACTGTAGGGCTACAGTAACCAAAACAGCATAGTACTAATACAAAAACAGACACATAGACCAATGGAACAGGATAGAGAACTCAGAAATAAGGCCACACACTTACACATATACGATCTCCGACAAACCTGACAAAAACAAGCAATGGGGAAAGGATTCCCTTTCAATTAATGGTACTGGCTAGCCATATACACAAGATTGAAACTGGACCCCTTTTTACACCATATACAAAAATTAACTCAAGATAGATTAAAGACTTAAATGTAAAACCCAAAACTATAGAAGCCTGGAAGACAACCTAGGCAATATCTTTCAGGACATAGGCATAGGCAAATATTTCATGAAGAAGACACCAAAGGCAACTGCAACAAAACCACAAATTGACAAATGGGATCTAATTAAACTGAGCTTCTGCATAGCAAAGGAAACTATCAAGAGAGTGAGCAGACAACCTACAGAATGGGAGAAAACTTTTGCAAATTATGCATCTGACAAAGGTCTAATATCCAGAATCTATAAGGAACTTAAGCAAATTCACAAGAAAAAGACAACCTCATTAAAAAGAGGGCAAATTACATGAACAGATACCTTTCAAAAGAAGACATCGCATTTATTTTAACTTCATTACTGCATTAACACAATAAAAATAAAACAATGTAGCTTATTTTTCATTCACTCTACTTATAGCCCACCAGGCTAATTGTGTGTGTGGAGTGTGTGTGTGTCTGTGTGTGTGTGTGTGTGTGTGTCTGGTATGTGTTAAATTGAGTACGGTTTTTTGTCTAAAGTATAATTATTTCTTTCCTTTTATTTTTACTTTTAGAACTCAATCGTTATTGAAAGACTATTTTATATTTAAATTTGGATAATACAGCAAGTTCTTTGGATAATACATTTATAATTGAGCCCAAAGCTAATGCTTTCAGTATACTATAATCTTCAAATTATAGATATAGGAAAAACTTGTAACTGAAAATCATAACATCTGACTTGCATCTTGCTTAATAAAGTACATTAAATAAACCGACATCTCTTCTTGGAATAATGCCATGATCTTTATATTCTCAGGGTTTCCAGAAGCATAAATTTGAAGGGTTTCTCACATGTCAAGGAATTAGGAGATGGAGGGGATTATGGCGGATGGGAGGCAGGACTACATTGCAGCTCCAGATAGAACAGCATCTGGAGACTTGCACTGTGAATTTTAGCGCCAGATCAACTAAAAGAACAAATCAGCAATCCTGAGAGGACTCACAGACCCTCTGAAGGAAGCGGACTACTGCAGGACCTGGGAAACACCCTAAATACTGTGAGTGCCCCAGCTACAAAAGTGGGAAAGGGAGACCCTCCTCTCCCGAACACATACCCCTACAGGAGAAGTTGAAGGTCTGTTTGCAGAAGTTTCTGACTTTACCTGAAGCTGAGTCAAGTTACAGAGCCGAGCAAAATACAGGGGTAGAGGAAGCAGCAGAAAGGCCCTGGGAGCTCGGTGGGTCCCTTCACAGGCGGCGGAAGGGGCGGGGGTGGGGGGCAGGGAACTAAAGCCCTTTCTTTGGCAGCTGGGAGGCGGAGAGCCTCAGGCAAGTTTCAAGCCCCTCTCGCCCTCCACCTGTAAACATACTCAGGGCTGTTGGGGAGCCGTGGACATGTTAGAAGTGAGACAGGCCCTTCGGTTTGTGTGGGAGCTGGCTGAGGCCTGTAACTGCTGGCTTTCCCCCACTTCCCTGACAACCTGCATGACTCAGCAGAGGTAGCCATAATCATCTTAGGTACACAATTCCAGTGACCTAGGAATCTTACCCCCATTCTCCACAGCAGCTGCAGCAAGACCCGCCCAAGTAAAGTCTGAGCTCAGACACGCCTCGCCCTGCCCCAACCTGATGGTCCTTCCCTATCCACGCGGCAGCGGAAGACAAAAGGTATAGAATCTTGGGAGTTCTAGGGCCCCGCCCACTACCAGTCCCTCTCCACACTACTACAGCTGATGCTTTCTAGAAAGCGCCACCTCCTGGCAGGAGGCCAACCAGTACAAGAGTAGAACATTAAACCACCAAAGCTAAGGACCCTCAGGGAATCCACCGAACTCTTCGCCACCTCCACCGGAACAGGCACTGGTATCCACAGCTGAGAGACCCATAGACGGTTCACATCACAGAACTCTGATGCGAACAGAGTGTCACAACCGCCAGTACCAGTCTGGAGCCGGGTAGACTTGCTGGGTGGTTAGAACCAGAAGAGAGACAACAATCACTGCCGTTTGGCTCACAGGAAGCCACATCCATAGGAAAAGGAGGAGAGTACTACATCAAGGCAACACCCCACTGGACAAAAGAATCTGAACAACAGCCTTCGGCCTTAGACCTTCCCTCTGACAGAGCCTACCCAAATGAGAAGGAACCAGAAAACCTGGTAATATGACAAAACAAGACTCTTCAACACCCTCCCCCCCCCCAAAAAAAATCACACTAGTACACCAGCAATGGATCCAAACCAAGAAGAAATCCCTGATTTACCTGAAAAAGAATTCAGGAGGTTACTTATTAAGCTAATTAGGGAGGGACCAGAGAAAGGTGAAGCCCAATGCAAGGAAATCCAAAAAATGATACAAGAAGTGAAGGGAGAAATATTCAATGTAACAGATAGCTTAAAGAAAACACAATAAAAAATTCAGGAAACTTTGGATACACTTTTAGAAATGTAAAATGCTCCAGAAAGTCTCAGCAATAAAAATGAACAAGTAGAAGAGAAAAATTCAGAGCTCAAAGACAAGGTCTTCGAATTAACCCAATCCAATAAAGACAAAGAAAAAAGAAAAAGAAAATATGAACAAAGCCTCCAAGAAGTCTGGGATTACATTAAACAACCAAACCTAAGAATAACCAGTGTTCCTGAGGAAGAAGAGAATTCTAAAAGCTTGGAAAACATATTTGGGGGAATAATTGAGGAAAATTCCCCAGCCTAGCTGGAGACCTAGACATCCAAATACAAGCAGCACAAAGAACATCTGAGAAATTCATCACAAAAAGATCTAGGCACGTTGTCATCAGGTTATCCAAAGTTAAGACAAAGGAAAGAATCTTGAGAGCTGTGAGACAGAAGCACCAGGTAAACTATAAAGGAAAACCTATCAGATTAACAGCAAATTTCTCAGCAGAAACCCTAAAAGCTAGGAGGGATTGGGGCCCTATCTTCAGCCTCCTCAAACAAAACAATTATCAGCCAAGAATTTTGTATCCAGAGAAACTAAGTATCATATATGAAGGAAAGATACAGTCGTTTTCAGACAAACAAGTGCTGAGAGAATTCACCATTACCAAGCCACCACTACAAGAACTGCTAAAAGGATCTCTAAATCTTGAAAGGAATCCTGGAAACCATGAAAACAGAACCTCTTTAAAGCATAAATTACACAGGACCTATAAAACAAAAATATAAGCTAAAAAGCAAAAGCAAGAAACAAAACAAAAAAACAACACAAAGTCCACAGGCAACAAAGAGCACAATGAACGCAAAGGTACCTCACATTTAAATACTAACACTGAATGTAAATGGCCTAGGTGCTCCACTTAAGAGATACAGAACTGCAGAATGGATAAGAACTCACCAAGGAACTATCTGCTGCCTTCAGGATACTCACTTAACACATAAGAACTCATTGGAAAAAACCCTTCTAGATATTGGCTTAGGCAAAGATAAATAGCTGGGACTTAACTAAACTAAAGAGCTTTTGAATGGCAAAAGGAACAGTCAGCAGAGTAAACAGAAAACCCACAGTGTGGGAGAAGATCTTCACAATCTATACATCTGAAAAAGGAGGAATATCCAGAATCTACAGCGAACTCAAGCAAATCAGTAAGTAAAAAACAAACAATCCCATCAAAAAGTAGGCTAAAGACATGAATAGACAGTTCTCAAAAGAAGATAGACAAATGGCAAATAAACAGATGAAAAAACGCTCAATATCACTAATGATCAGGGAAATACAAATCAAAAGCACAATGTGATACCACCTTACTCCTGCAAGAATGGCCATAATCAAAAAATCAAAAAACAGTAGATGTCGGTGTGGATGCTGTGAACAGGGAACACTTCTACACTGCTGGGTTGAATGTAAACTTGTACAGTCACTATAGAAAACAGTGTGGAGATTCCTTAAAGAACTAAAACTAGAACTACCATTTGATCCATCAATCCCACTACTGAGTATCTACCCAGAGGAAAAGAAGTCATTATTCGAAAAAGATACTTGCACACGCATGTTTATAGCAACACAATTCACAATTGCAAAATTGTGGAACCAACCCAATTGCCCATCAATCAATGAGTGGATAAAGAAACTGTGATATATATATCTGCATTTAATATATATCTATGTGTGTGTGTGTGATGTCATCTGCATTGTATATATATTATAATACATTATATATTATGTAATCTGAATTAAATATATATGATATAATGCATTTATATATCTGATGGAATACTACGCAGCCATAAAAAGAATGAAGTAACGGCATTTGCAGTGACCTGGATGAGACTGGAGACTACTATTCTAAGTGAAATAACTCAGGAATAGAAAACCAAACATCATATGTTCTCACTGATATGTGGGAGCTAAGCTATGGGGATGCAAAGGCATGATGCAGTGGACTTTGGGAACATGGGTGAAAGAGTAGGAGGGGGCGAGGGATAAAATACTATAAATATCATGCAGTGTATACTGCTTGGGTGATGGGTGCATCAAAATCTCATAAATCACCACTAAAGAAGTTACTCATGTAATCAAATACCACCTGTACCCCAATAACTAATGGAAAAATAAAAATAAAAATAAAATAAAATAATAAAAGAGTCAATGAATTATACATCTAAGCAAAGAACTGACTCAGAAATGTGACTAGGACCATTTAGGATCTAGAGAATGTTATGAACTCAGATTAAACTGATGAGAGATATAGTTTCTCTCACTAGGCCTAAACCATGTTTATGAATTATCGTTTTTCCCTATCACTTAAAATGTAAATAAGATAATGACATCACCCATTGTTCTTGATCCCTCCACCGCTTTCCCAAATTTAAAAGCCTTCAAAGGCTTCCCAGTATTTTTAGGATATAGAGTAATTCCCTTAGTTTTGTGTTTTGGTGCTTTTTGGTTTACTCCTGAATACCTCTCTAGCCATATATTCCTCCATCCCAATCCTTACTTCATTCCTTCCTCTCCAGCTACACTGGCCTCTTTTCAGTCTTTCTCATGGCCATGGACCAAAGCATCCTCCATCCTCTGTTGACTCTCCAGCTAGAGAGTGTTTTGTTCGTTTGTTTTGTTTTTGTTTTTGTTTTGAGCTGGAGTCTTGCTCTTGTCACCCAGGCTGGAGTGCAGCGGCGCAATCTTGGCTCACTGCAACCTCTGCCTCCCTGGTTCCAGCGATTCTCCTGCCTCAGTCTCCCAAGTAGCTGGGATTACAGGGGTGCACCACCACGCCTGACTAGTTTTTCTATTTTTAGTAGAGATGGGGTTTCCCCATGTTGGCCAGACTGGTCTGGAACTCCTGACCTCAGGTGATCTGCCCGCCTCAGCCTCCCAATGTTCTGGGATTACCGGCATGAGCCACCGCACCCAGCCTTAGAGAGCTGTTTTACGTCTCATTCCCGATCCTTGAAATTCTATTTCTTTCATTTGTTTTTTTTAATCCATCCATTGATCCAGCCTCCCTCCTTTTCTCCTTCCCTCCATCCATTCAACAACTTATTGATTACCTTCTACATAATAGTGAGTGTACTAGTCATTGGGAATTGTGCAGATTACAGTATAGACAAAACTAATTACCATATGAAGCTCACAGTCTAATGTGGGTCAAGGGAAACAGAAAATAATCAGATAAGTAAAATGCATGGTACATCAGAGATTACAAGCGTTATGGAGAAATATAAAATAGGCAAGGATGATGGGGACTGTAGGGCATTGAAGATAGATGACAGAAATTTAAAATAGGCAGGCTATGGATGACTCAATGAGAAGGTAAGAAACGTGAAAGAGGCGAGGGAGGACGACATGAACTTACATAAAGGGAAGTAACTTTAGGCAGGTAAAATAGTAAGTGCAAAAGTTCTGAAGTCGGTATGTGCTCGGAGTGTTTTACAAACAGCGAGAAGACCAGTTTGACTGGGTTTGATGAGCAAGTGTGAGATTAGCAGGAGATGAGGTTAGAGAGAAAGGGAGAAGGTATGGGCTGAATATGTGACTCACAGGCCATTGTAATGACTTACAATAGGCTTTTATTTTTAACGAAATGGGAGTCCATTAAGTATTTTGAATAGAGATGTATCTTTATCTGCCTTATATATTTAATTAATTAATTAAAATGTATTGCCTGTAGAGGAAATCCCTCTGATTACTGTTTTCAGAGTACTCCCGAGTGAGGCTACAAGTTGAAGCAGGAAGAATCCAAATACCTTTCAAAAATTTTAAATTCATACACAGTAAGAGTATTTTATATTGAGATTCAGGATATATGGACACACACATGTGTACATATACATCTAGACATATATGTCTACATGTTTATATATTTATAAATAAAACTGAAATACGTTTTACAAAAAATTGATCTATGCATTATGCAATTCAATATTTTCTATTATATTGCAAGGCATTGTTTTACTGCTATTTACAAGGCATAAATTAATTAATTTTATGGCTCACTAATGGGTTACAAACCAGTGAAAAACATATAGAAGGGTATGCAACATATCAGCAGAGTGATGATGATGGTTTGAATCAGGGAAGCAGCTATGGAGGTAGGAAGATATAGTCAGGTTCTGGATATATTTGAAGGTAAGGTATGAAAAATAAAGTGAATATTAAGGAATGATATTAAGAATGATGTTAAGAATAATTAAGTCTTGTGTCCTGCAAAACTGGAATATTGGTGCTGCTATTCACAGTGATGAAGACAGCATTTGGAAGACCATATCTGGTGGAGATGGGTAGGAGAGATTGAGCCATGTTTTCAACATATTAAGTTTGAAATATATATATATTTTATATTTACAAGAAGATCATGAGTAGGCCATTGACCCTAACAGGACTTCAAAAAAAATCTTTCAGTGAGTTAGGTCTTATTTATAGATCTCAAATGAATCATCTCTTCCTCAAATAAGCCCTCTCTACCCTCTTCCAAAGAAGCCAATTGTTGCTATTATAGGCACTAAAGCAACATGTATATTTCCTTGACACATCTGAAAGGTTATATCTCTGTGATTATTTGAGCAATGTTTTCCTACCTCCCCAAAAATACTGGAAGTTCCATAGAACGAGACTGTCTACTTACCGCTGTATTTCCAGCACCTAGGATATACCAGATGCTGAATAAATATCCTTATATTGCACACATATGCCCAAATACACATAAAGCGATCAGGTTGGAATGAGATACTGGAAAAAATTAGCCCCTATTTCAGTAAGGTAAATCATTTATGTCTGTTTCTGAATGGTTTAGGTTTTTGCAAGACAAGACACATAATCTTTGAGGATAGAATATTTTATGAGGCATGGGTATAGCTGGAGCAAACTGAGAAAGAGAAGGGGGTAGTAGGAAATGAGCGCAGAGACATGGGACTTCAAGTATGAAGCCTTGGTGATGGGCTTCCTGATTTTAATGTGGCTGAAGTGACGTTGGATGACTTACAAAGTTAGGTCATAAAAGATGTTATAGATTCTTCCTGGCTTTCTATTTTCTAACTATCAACTTGGACGCCAGCCTCTTTACTATGAAGAAGCCAAGCAGTAACGCAGAAAGGCCATGTATAAATGTTCTGATCACAAACCCAGCAAAGGTCTCAACTAGCAGCTAGTATCAACCACAAATACATGAGTGAGGAGGGAATACGTTTTTAGAAAATTCTAGTCCTCAGCCTTTGAGCCTCTCCCTATGATACCATCTGGGGCAGAGATCAGCTGTTTATGTCAAATGCTGCCTAAATTTACAAACTTGTAAACAAAATAAAGGCTGTCATTGTTTTAAGCCACTGCATTTTGAGGTGGCTTGTTATGCAGCAAAGTATTACCAGGTATTGCCTCCCAAATAAATTACGTTCCTTCAATTTCTTGTCTCAGAATCTACTTCCAGTTATGGATCTGTTACTAATTTTCTGTGTGACCTAGAGAGCATTCTGAATTTCATTTTCTTTTTTAAAAGTCTGGAATAAACTACTAAGTAGCTACTACCATCAGCAGTTCTAAAACTATTATCGTTTGGAGACCCAGTATTTGCCAAAAATTATCAAATGCATAGCCATTCCTGATTAAATAACTGATGAGGAGTAAACATTTTTGAGATACAGTTATAGCACAGCTGTTTCCAGAAGTCCATAATGTCAAGTCAAAGGCCAGCTTAGTGAGTAACAGAAGGAGGAAGCATACTAGTTTCTGAGTGAAAATTTCAGGCCAAGATAAAAATCCAAAAATTAGAATTGCAGACAGTAGTGGTCTCTTTAAGATGATCTATATAAATAGGAAATAAATTTGATATGGACCAAGTCTAGAAAGAAATGCTGATCATTCATTTTTATCGCAGACAGAAGCCAAAAGTAAAAATAAACAACTTCTACACACAGATTCATTTTGCCAAATACAACTGGGTTGTTGCCCAAATCTTCTCTTAACCATACAGAGCATCATTTTTTTCTTTACCATGTGACAAATTGCATTTCTAAAAATTATGACAGGAACATCTTCAATTCCACACATTCTTCCAGAACTTCGGTACTACCCGATCAAGAGGTATAATTTCTTTACCATTCCTTACCTCTGGGACTTAGCATGATGATCAGTGAGGATGAGAAAAATTAACCTCTTTACAAGATTCAATCTACGAAACTGATCTTGAGAAGCAAGGGATATTGATCATTTTAGATAGTTAACAGAAAAGTCTAACACATAGGTTTTAGCTCTAGCATTAGTAGATCATCATTACTGAGGCAACATTCCCTCTTCTCCCAGAACTCACCCAGTCTGAGGACACACCAGAAGGCAAGTGCATGCTTAAATTTAGATCATTCTAGTAGTCAAAAATTTCAAAGAGATCCCTAAAAAATATACATTTGGAAGAATAAGAAAATGTTGTGATTCAAATTATCCTTGATTGTGTAGAAAATGTTTCTTAGAAACATTTGCAGAACCCATGACAGGAATCTAAAAATATAAACTAAATTTCCAGTCTCCTAGGGAAAAATGCTTTCTCTGCATCCCTAAAATACACATATTTCTAACTGTGTTTTCTAAAATATCTCTGTTAAGAGAAAACTAATAGCCATGTTGATTCATGAAAGTTCTCTCATGCAATCGATGGATATTTCTATATAAAGTGATGACAGTACATAAAACATACATCTATAATAGAGTTCAGCATTCTCTGCTAAAGGAAACTACATGAAACTTCGTGGAAGGCTTATTTTTAGTGTAATACATATGTGCCATATTTGAGAACTTCTAAGATATAATAATCCATTCACAATTAAATTGGCGGAGTTTTGGTTAATTATACTATATTGTTCATATTCTAGTTGGACAGTTCATAAAATAAACGGCTTCACATATAAACCATGGAATACTATGCAGCCATAAAAAAGGATGAATTCATGTCCTTTGCAGGGACATGGATGAAGCTGGAAACCATTATTCTTAGCAAACTAACACAGGAAGAGAAAACCAAACATTGCATGTTCTCACTCATAAGTGGGAGTTGAACAATGAGAACACATGGACACAGGGAGGGGAACATCACACACCAGGGCCTGTCAGAGGGTGGGGGAGCTAGGGGAGGGATAGCATTAGGAGAAATACCTAATGTAGACGACAGGTTGATGGGTGCAGCAAACCACCATGGCACATGTATACCTATGTAACAAACCTACACGTTCTGCACATGTATCCCAGAACTTAAAGTATAATTTAAAAAATAATAATAAATGGCTTTAGCAGGTAATCTGAAAAAAACTCTTTGACATGATATTATTTGAATGTCTCATATCTCCTTAGGTGCAAATGCATTCTGTGGTGTAGAGTAACTGAACATTCTGCAGGAGTCCATGGAATTCTTTTACTCTGGACAATATCCTAAGGGAACAATATCTGAAATTTGTATGAGCCAGTTAAGCAGTCATCTAGATGTAAATGGCTCATCTAAAGAGAGGTATTCTAACCTCTCTAACCCCAACATTTTTGAATAAGAAAATGTTAGGAAATCTATTTTTATATTTGTTGAAATAAATACAACAGTTTAGAATTGGAATATGGAAGACTATAAGATGATTATTGCTTGATCATCTTCACAGACAGTTTCCAGGCAGACTTCAAACTAACTTTTGAAAATGTTTTCAATAGAATAAAATAATGAGCAACCTTTCTAGCTACCTACTCTATCAGCCTTTAGAAGCTTAAGAAGCTCAGAAGCTCACAAAATCTTCCTTCACTTTTATAATGTCATAGTTTCCCCTTTGTGTGTTCATACACATTTTTATACAGTTGCTTAAACAATATATACACTCACATAATACAGGGTTTTATTTTTTCCCTGAAATACTATAAATATCAAACTATAATTTGCTTGTTTCATACAGCATTCCACAAATATATCTAAAAATATTTACATGTAACTTTAATCTATGCTTATTTTAAAAAACGGAATATGACACAGAAAGATACATACATAAAAATACATGAATCATAAATGCAGAGCTTCATTACTTTTTACACAATTAACATTGAGTATATCGATCACCCAGATCAAGATATAGGCATTTTAATAATCTCACAAGCATTTTTGTTACCTGGTCCCGAACATTGCTTCCCTCTAAAGGTAACCACTTTTATCGTGTAACACCATAAATTGGTTCTACCTGGTTTTCTATTAGCATAGGTTGGGTTTTCTCTACTTTTAACCCTTGCATAAATATAATTACATAATACACACCTTCTATGTTTGGTTTCTTTCACTCAAATTATGTCTGTGAAGTCCACGCATGGTATTGCATGTATCAGTAGTCCATTCATTTCTATTTCTGTATAGCATTCATTTATTTGAATAGAGCCATGTATCTTTATTAATTTTAATGTTGCGGCATATAAGGGTTGTTTCTAATTGTGGCTATTATGACAAACACTGCACTGAACCTTACTGTTCCTATCTTTTGATTAATCTATCTTAAAGGTGGAATTTATATGTCATGCAGAATGCAACATTTTTGTTTTAGTATATTCTACCAATAGTTTGTCAAAGCAGGAGGGTCAATTTTCACTTCCATAAACAGTGTGGAAGGGTTTTCCAATCACATCACACTTACAACAATACTTAGTATTTTCAGTTCTGTTTTTTTTTTTTTTAATTTTGATTATGGCCATTACAATGGGTATGTAGTTGTTTTGCTTTGTGGTTTTAATATTAATTACTTGATGCTTTTACAATGTTAAACATCCTTTCATTTTTTTTTTTAAGAGACAAAGTCTCCCCTAGGTTATCCTGGCTGGACACAAACTCCTGGGCTCAAGTGACTCTCTTGTGTCAGCCTCCTGAGTAGATGGGACTACAGGCAAGTGCTCTGTATCTGGTTCTTTCATATTTTTATTGGTCATTCTGATATCTTTTTGGTGCAACATATTTTAAAATCTTTCACTTATTTTGTTAAAAATAGATTTTTATTGATTGTTATGAGTTTTTAAAATATATTCTGGATACTAGCTTTTTTTTTTTAAACGTATACACAAATATCATTTCCCATTCTCTGATTTCCTTTTTCAGTCTCTCTGTCTCTTAGTGAGGTCTTCTGATGAATAAAATTTCTTGTTTTAATGAAGCCAATATGACAATACAACAGTGTGGATTTGGAATAAGGAAGATTTTAAAGATTTTAATAGTTTCCTTTTCATTGCCTTGATCATCTTCACCAGACAGTTTCCAGGCAGACTTCAAACTAACTTTTGAAAATGTTTTTAAAGAATGAAATAATAAGCAACATTTCTAGTTACCTACTCTATCAGCCTTTAGAAGCTTAAGCAGCTCAGAGGCTCATAAACTATTCCTTCACTTTTATAATCTCATAGTGTCTCTTTTGTGTGTTCATATGTATGTTTTCTGTAGTTGCTTATTTAAACAAAACACACACTCATATAGAGTTTTATTTTTTCAATGAGATACTATAAATATTAAAGTATAATTTGCTTGCTTAATATAACATTTCATTAACATATTATTTCCCACTCTGTGATCTCCTAGTGAAGCCTTCTGATGAGTAAAATTTCTTGCTTTAATGAAGCCAATATGCCAATATTTTTAAGCTGGTGATTTTATATCTTGTTTAAAAAATGTCCCCACCAAGGTCATGAAACTATTCTCTTATGTTATCTTCTAGAATTATTTCTTTCACAGCTTTCACATTTAAGTCTAAAATCTAATCTCCAGTTGATCCCACATAATTTATAGAAAAGACGATTCATTCCCTACTGAACTTCAGTGTCACCTTTGCTGTAAATCAGGTAACTATATATGTGTGAGCCTGTTTTTAGACTCTCTCTTATGTTCCATTGTTCTAGTTATCTGTATTCACACCAAAAACACACTGTTTGAATTTCAATTGTTTCATAATAATTGGTAATATCTGTTAGTATAAAATTTCCCACTTTGTTCTTTTTAAGATTGTCGTGGCTATGTTGGACCTTTGCATGTCCACATAAATTTTTATAATGTGCGCACACACACACACGCACACTCCTGATGGGGTTGATTAGGATTTCAGTGACTCTACAGATCAATTTTTGAGAGTTTACATCTTTATAATGTTGATTCTGCCAACCCATGAGCATGACATAGTTTTCCATTTAGATACGTTTTCTTTAAATCCTCTCATTCATAATATATGTTTCTGCTTAGGTATCTCAAACATATTTTATACATTTATTTATTTTTGATTTATTGATGGCATTATTTTAAAAAAATACCACTTTCTAACTGTTTACTCTTGAAAATTACAATTAACTTTTGGATATTCACATGGTATCCAGAAACCTCATTAAATCCACTTATTAATTCTAATATTTTATCTGATGGTTCTTCGAATTTTCTATGCATGTTTAGTCTGTAAATAATAAAAGCTTTTTTCGCTCTAACTGTATACCTTTAATTTCATTTTCCTGACTTATTATATTAAGTAGTATATTAATTAAATACATTGTTGTAGATTACTTATAGATACTTTTTATCAGATCAAGTTACATCTCTTCTACTTCCAGTTTCCCAGGAAGGGTGTGTGTGTGTTTGTGTGTGTGTGCACGCGAGAGTGCACGTGTTCATGTGAGGGAATTAATTTTTTCCAATACTTTTTTTATATTTGTTTTCATCCTTCATATTTTTAATGTGATGGGTCACATCAATTGGTTTTCAAGTGTTACAATGAGATAACATCTCATCCCAGTTAAAATGGCTTTTATCCAAAAGACAGGTGATAACAAATGCTGGTGAGAATGTGGAGAAAAGGGAACCCTCTTATACTGTTGATGGAAATGTAAATTAGAACCACCACTATGTAGAACACTTTGGAAGTTCCTCAGAAAACTGAAAATAGACCTGCTATATAATTCAGCAATCTCATTGCTAGGTATACATCCAAAAGAAAGGAAATCAGTATATAAAAGAGATAACTGCACTCTCTTGTTTATTGCAGCACTAGTCACAATAGCCAAGATTTGGAAGCAACGTAAGTGTCCATCAACAGATGAATGGATAAAGAAAATGTCGTGCTTATACAAAATGGAGAACTATCCAGCCATAAAAAGAATGATACCCTGTCATTTGCAACAACATGGATCGAACCGGAGGTCATTATGTTAAGTGAAATAAGCCAGGCACAGCAAGACAAACTTTGCATGTTCTTGCTTATTTGTGGGAGCTAAAAATTAAAACAATTAAACTCATCAAGATAGAAAGTAGAATGATGGTTACCAGAGGATGGGAAGGGTAATGGGATGGAGAGTGGGGATGGTTAATAGGTACAAAAGTATAGTTAGATAGAATGAATAAGATCTGTATTTGTTTGCAAAACAGGGTGACTACAGTAAACAATAATTTGTTGTACACTGTAAAATAACTTAAAGAGTATAATTGGATTGTCTGTAACACAAAGAAAGGATAAATGCTTGAGGTGATAGATCCAACATTTACCCTGATGTGATTATTATGTATTGTGTGCCTGTATTGAAATATCTCATATAACCTATAAATAGATATACCTACTCTGTACCCACAAAAATTAAAAATTAAAACAAAATTCTGAAATGAAAAAGAAAAAAAATGACGTTTCCTTGCCCAAATACACCCAGTTTTGTTGTGATATATTGTTCTTCGAATATAGCACTGTATTTAGTCCGATAATAATTTGTATAAGGTACATAACATACTTTTAGCAGGTACTAAATACCCCATTATTTGGTATAATCAGATTGCTTCAGTGAGTTCTGAGTTGAAAGACATTTAGAGTGATTTCAATGAATGTATTCTTTTAGACACGGCTTCAGTAAACAATCTTACATATATCCTTACATACTAGTGATTTTATTTTTGATAGATTCTTAAGGAGGGATTGATGGGCAAAAGATTGTGGACTTTTCCATAGCTGTTCTCAGGTTACTTTCTTAAAATATTGTATCAATACTTCACCAGTAGAGATTATTAAGAGCTTCTTTTCTCACACCCATTCCAGCACTGAATGTTATTCCATCTGTTTGTTTTCTCGTCCAGCTCATGGGCAGGAAATGTTATTTCATTTTGCCTTTTTGACTATGAGAATATTGACTACTTCCTCATAATTGTATTGGTTATTTGCCTGTCCTCTTTTGTGGTTTTTCTGTTCAGATTATATATTTTTTAAATTGTATTTCTGTCTTCAAATCAATTTGTAGACTTGTATTAAAATAGAGATATTAAGTCTTTGTGATAGATATTCTAAGTGTATTTTCTCAGTTTATTGTCTTTTTGCTCTATTGTAACATCTTTGGCTTTATAGAAATATTTATTTTTTATGTAGTAGCAAGTGTCATTTTTCTTTCTTTCTTTTTTTTTTTTGAGATGGAGTGGCCCAGGCTGAAGCGTGATGGCCCAATCTCAGCTCACTGCAACCTCTGCCTCCTGGGTTCAAGTGATTCTCCTGCCTCAGCCTCCAGAGTAGTTGGGATTACAGGCTGGCGCCAACACGCCTGGCTAATTTTTGTATTTTTAGTAGAGATGTGGTTTTGCCACTTTGGCCAGGCTGGTCTTGAACTCCTGGCCTCAAGTGATCTGCCAGCCTTGACCTCCCAAAGTGCTGGCATTACAGGTGTGAGCAACTGCCCCAGGCCCATTTTTCTCCTTAAAGTCATCTGGAATTAGTGTTTGGGTTAAGAATGCCCCATAACTCAAACTGCTATAGATTCATCACTTATTTGGTTTCATTTTTGTATAGTTGAATCTGTAATCTATCTAGAATTTTTTTAGTTTAAGTTAGGAAAGTCTAACTTTATGAAAAGATAATCATTATATATTCAGTTTTTTAATGAATGAATTAAAATGTCATATTTAGTACATTCCCTTTGGCTGGATCTATTTCTGAGTACTACTTTGTTTTTCCATTTTGTCTCTTCCTGTTCCAATACCATATTCTTCTAATAGTAGTGGCTTGATGATATAAAATGTACTATGTCACAACCCTTTTTTTTTTTAAATTCTGGATAATTTTCATACTTTTATACCTCTCTTTAATAGGAGCTGTGCTATAATTCTAAATATTTCCCACTTGAAATTGCTAAAAATAGAACTGACGAGTCTAAAAAAAATGGGCACTTGGGAAACCTAAGAGGTCTTCTGTCAACAAAGATTTCCAATAGGCATAAATTCTCAAGATCAAGATCTAATTGAAAGGTACCCAGTTGACAATCCATCCTGAGAGTCAGCGCAGGTTGAATCTAAGAAAATTCTGTAGTCAAGACTAACCACTAAGTTTTTGTCAAAATAAAGTATCCACTGCCATGAAAAGGGTCAACTTGGCAATGAAAAACAGGACGGCAAACATATTAGGTTTTTATTAAAGGTATTATAATAGGAATGGAACAGAGTCGCTGGCAAAATTGTCTTAAAGAAGGCGCCAAATTGACTGTGTACAGGCCATTTTATCAATGTTTTTAAAACTTGGTTGCACATTGGAATCACCAGAACAATTAATCGGCATCTCTGGGTGTGGAAACCAGGAAACAGTTTTTTGGTAAAACTCCACAGATGATTCCAATGTCTAGTCATAGTCGAGAGCCAGTGTTTTAGAAAAGGATAAGCATCTACTTTGAATGAAAATGCAGACGAAAACAAGAAAAGAAAATCCTTAGCTATTGCTAGGTCCCTTGCCAAGTTCCTCTTGCAAAGTTAATTTTTCTTCAGTAGATGATGGATAGGATTTAAAGTTATTGGGCTACTGCAGGAAGAAATGCAGGATGAGTTATGTGTGTGGGGAGGTGGGGGAGGGAGTAAGGATACTAACCAAATGAAAGTCACTTCTGAAATTTTTAGAAAATAAAGTCATACGAGCTGTTTATAGTCCAATCTAATTCTAGCCTCAGTGGTGGGAGGAAGGAATGGAGGAGGCAGTCAGAGTGAACATATGCACTGAGAGAAGAGTGGGTAGCTTTGGTGAAATCTCCTAAGAAAATGGATAGTCCTTGGCATATATTACCCATGTCTGGTCAGTGCACTCAAGTCAGGATACAAAAGTGGGGTACACACGTGTAAGTGACCCAGATAGCTAAAACCAGTGACCCTTCTTGTCAGTGTAGTCATCTTCTAAGTGGCAATGCTAAATCATTCATGACCTCATGTGCTGCTTTTGGCAAGCGGCTCCCTAATTGCTCCTGTTTTTGCATCGATTCTGCGCAGCGTGGAAAAGCGAGTCGTCAACTTGCTTGTGGGTGTATTGACCACCAGGTCCCTCCTCAGCTTTCACCTTCCAGGCCTCGCCCACTCTATTTTAGAGCCAGGAGCTGGGAACAGCACCTGTTTTTCGTCTCTAAGGATGGGGTGGGCATTTTGACGGCGCCCTCTTTCAACCAACCCACGCTAAGGTGTCTGTGTTTCTGCGTTTTCAAGCTCCCCCCAGCCGCCCCGCGCCCCCCGCATCCCCATCTCCGTGGCTGAGGGCCTAGGGAGGAGGGAAAATCCATCCTCAGACACACTAGATCCTCAGCGAGACCTGCTGTGGAGAGCATCAAACGGACCGCACGCGGACCCACCTGCCTTCCAAAGTTTGGGGCGTGAGGAAGCTGAGGCACGTGGCGTTTGGTTATGGCACAGCTGAGGGGTCTGCAGGAGACCCCAGAAAATGCCGCTGAGGACGGATTCACCGACGTCATCAAAAGCCGCGCTGGTAGGACCCCCGCTGCCTTGCTTTTTAGTGTCTGGGTTATTCACTGTACCCTGCTACTCTCCGCAGAGGCTGTGCCCTGGAAGTTGGCACGGGTTGGGGAAAGTTGTGGCGCCCAGCAGAGGAGCAGCAGGGGACTGTCAGGGCGCCCCCGCGCGTGGGGAGGGCGGGGAACCACGCAGGGCGCGGCGTTCCAGGGATAAGGGAGTGCTGCTCTCAGGGAAAGCAGAAACCCAACTTTTCCTTTTAGGCCAAGTGGATATCAGTGGGGGGTTTATTTATTATTTTTTAAAGAAAGCCCACTGAATATTGAATTTTGTTATAGGATGGTAGGCTGTTTTAAAAATTAAACACAAAGGATTGGTCAGATTGAGTTAAAATAAATATTGTGGTAGCTTGAGGAAGGGAGGGAGGGCCGGCGAAGGACAGCTTGCCTTGTCAGGGCGTGGCCAAGTGCAGAGTTAAGAAATCTGAGAAGTTTCACCTCAGCTGTGCTGAAGGAAAACGTCAGAGCGCTAGACAGGAAGACTTGCATGCCCGAGGTACAACTATACGAGTTGAAAATCAGTAAAGCAGCAGAAGTGAGGAGTCTAAGGTTTTTGCAGCGCTTCCCACCCCCATGCACGTGTAAATTTCATTTGTAATAAATCTTCTGGTGTTTGGTAGTCTGGCCTACATATGCAAACTCTTGTAAACCAGGATACGTTTTTAAAGCTGTAAATGGAAGCAGCTGTTAAGCTCTCTCTAAGGATGAAGTTTTTCAGCTGCCTGAGCCCGCTCCTTTCGCCTTTGGACACGCAGCAAATTGTGGACGTTAAAATCACAGGACCATTCAAGATTTCTTTATGTACATTGCTGGATGCTGAAGAGGACAGAGGTATGAAGTCACTGTCCAAGTATATTTCTGAAGTGAGGTTAAAGGAAAGATCACAAAAGAAAACGAAAGTTAGTAAGAAACACCAGGAGTTGTGTAAATTGCACACCAGCAAAGTGTTCAGAAGATAGCAGAGCAGAATTTCTTCAGAACTTTAGTAAGGTATTTTTACAAGTAGTACGAGTTGATAATGATAGCTATAAGTCACAAAACAATGGTGCTTCGGACAGTTTTGGGGAGAAATCAGTTATTTCGAATTTAAAACCACAGTTTCCTTCTTTTTTCACTCCATTATTTAGGTTATTTAACAAGCTTCTTAGATTTTAAAGTGAAGAATGGAAAACTTTCTTAAATAGAATGCCCTTAGCATTCAGCTCCAAGGTTAATAGAACTGGCTTTAAGTAGATACCCTAAAATAATAATGTGAAAAAAATATGTTGGGTAGTTTCATACATTGCTTTAAAATTGCTATTGTTTATACATGTTATTGGACGATAACCTTGCAGCTATAATTATCTGAAAAATGCAGAGGGATATCTACTATAAATCTGTTGCAGATCATTGTTTTGGAAAAAATGTGTTAATTTAGGAATTAATTCTACAAATTAATTCTATTTATCATTATGCTACATCTAAACTTGCCAGAACATGGGGGAAATAAGAAAAGGATCCACAAAGATATTCTGAAAACGACATTCATGCAAATTTGTGTGTCTTGGAAATGGGTAGTTTAAATTCATATCTAAAGAAAAATTAATCTACGTATATGTAACATTCCATACTAGATTCTACTATTGAGAGTCACTTTAAAAATGCAATAATTGAATTGTTATATTTTTATCTGTGAAATTCAGCTTTTGTTAGGAATCTAAATCAGGTGGGGTGTGTTGTCACTCATTACAAAGAGTAATATATAGATGGTCCAACAGGTTATCTAATTTTCAATATATATCTTTGTATTTTTGATAGGTCATTTCCTTTAAGGGTTTAGAGTCCCTCAAGTAAAGGATAAACTAATATTTGCTTTGAATATTTTAGTTTCTGTACATTTATAAAACCAGCATTTTTGTTATACATGTATATATATATACACACACGCACATATGTGTATATATATAAATATGTTACAGTTTTGATATTGTTTTGTTAATTCTAAAGTTAAAGGGTGGCTACTATTACTAAAGATTTTTTTTCTTTTGTAGCCACTTGTTGTGCACAGCAAAAATATAATGTGGTGGGGCAAACAGTAATACCAGAAAAAGCACACTTAAAAATTTGTTTAGATTGTGTCTAGACCTAGTTAAATGTCAGGGGAAATTTAGACAACAAGAGCGTGTTGTAACAATGCCTCGAGGGATATAAAAATAAATTTTATGTAAGGTGTTTAAACATATTTTTGTAGCGCTATTGAAGATTTTTTTACGTTGTAATCAGAATTTTTTAAAATTGAAGACAGAGATGATTATAATGTACATTGATAATACAAGTTTGTGCTTCATTAGATTGATTTTATACATTAGTCTCAGCTCATCATTTGATGAGGAGTCATAGCAATGTGAAACTTTGACAATTATTTTTTCTCCCGTCACAACTGCATACTCTTAATTCATTTCCTCAAGGAACAATGCTTTTGACTGATTATGGTTGATGTACGTGACTTCAACAATCATAATGTGAGTACTACCCATGGGAAGCCCTGTGCTTTGGGAGAAAATTGTTTATTACAAAATGAATAACCTGAAACAGAAACAGAACTTTTACACTTTCAGACATAAACTACAGTTAACCTAAGGGTAAAATCTCAGTGTTTAAAAGCATTTCAAGACAATGAATTTGCAATTGTCTTTTCTTGCTTGGAAACAGCAAATATGGGTATTTGATCTATTGATTTGGATGCTTTCCTGTAATTAGAAATATCCCAGTGTAACATATACAGCTCCATGCTGTTAATCTTTTAAAATCAGTTGTAAATTTAATTAGCCCTGATTTCTCTTATGACATTTTTGTGGTTTGTAATCATTTAGCATCTTGCTACATCTTTAGATCTTTTACTGGCATAGGATAATACATGAATAATTGAATAAAATGTACCTATGGGTTTGTGTCATGAAAGGTTTTTTGAAATAAACTCAGATTTTTTTTTCAGAAGAAAATCAGCTAAGTAGTTTTTATCTTTAAAAAAAAGGAATAAAGATTATCTTTGATCTGATCTTGAGGTCTACTATAAAAAGATCTTTCTGGTGACCAATTTCACATTGATATAATTCATATTTTATTACAAATCCCAACTATAAAAGATTGCTATATCCAAAGGTAGGTAGATAGATTTTATTTTATCCATACATCATGATTATAAAGAGCTCATTACAAAGAGTAATATATAAATGGTAGACAAAATAACTATTTTGAAACACATTAGATTTATACCTTTAGTATTTTACCTATCCTTACTTAAAACAAGAATATAATGTAATTGAACTTATTTTTTCAGTTTGAGCTAATGCTCTTAAATTGTAACCTTATAGTACTATACCACTAACAATTAGATACTCTCAGAATAATACAAACGTCAAATTTGACAAAGCTACTGGGGATTTTACAAGGGAAAATGTGAGCGAGAAATCAGAGACATTTTGAAAGGCATGTTCTTTTCAGAACTGCACACTATTACATTTGAAAATATTTTCTTACTAGGCCATTCAATATCTGTAGTCACTTTGGTAATGAAGCCTGTACTTATCCATCCCAGGAAAATTATATTCTCGTATCATCCCAAAAAAGCAGGTAATTCATTGTTTATGTTTGTAGAAGACCTGCTTTGGTGAGTAAAAACAAAAACAAACAAAAATCTTCAGTGTTAAGATTTCGCTTTGCGTGAATATGTGAGAATTCTTCTGCACAGAGACTTTACTAGGGAAGTTGTAGGTAATACTTTTCATAGATAATAACTACTAAAGTATTTTGTACTATATTGTAAGTTTCACTCTCATTAGGTAATTGGGTATGAGAGCAGTCCTATTGCAAGATTAGTTAGAAGACTAGAGAATCGTGCATTCTCATTCCCGATCACAGATAGAGTTACGGATATTTGTGAGAGCTAAAACATTTTTCCATGCAAGTTATTTAACGTTATAACCACATTGTTTTCAAATCTATGTATTAAATTTTATCTGATATGAGAGTGAATTAGATTATATTCTTTCCTACGAGGAGACATTTGGAAATTATGCGTATTGAGTTAATGAGTGCATTTGGCTTGAGACAGGACAACTTCTAAGTTCCTACTGAAAGTTTTACATAAATTATGATAGCTACTTTCAATTTAATAAATGTAGCCAATTTATCTTGACAGTCAATAATTCTGAGCTCTAAGTTCCTGTCTATATAAACTCTGTTCTCTGTTACAATGAAATTGAAAGTAAAAACAATGAACTCTAATAGTTTCGTGAAACTGTAGTTAGTAATTAGGGGACTATCTAGTGGTGTGCTGAGGCTGTTTGGAATTGACTCATGAGATTCAATGGTGTGAATCTTTTCCTAACTCTGCATTCAGTGACATCATATTGGTATTTTAAAATTATCATGGTGGGTGACATGGTTTGGCTCTGTGTCCCCAGCCAAATCTCACCTTGAATTGTAATAAACCCCACATGTCAAGGATGGGAACAGGTTGAGATAATTGAATCATGGGGGTGGTTTCCCCCATGCTGTTCTCCTGATACTAAGTGAGTTCTCACAAGATCTGATGGTTTCATAAGGGGCTTCCCCGTTTGCTCAGCACTCATTCTCTCTCATGCCTCCCTGTGAAGAGGTGCCTTCTGCCATGATAGTGAGTTTCCTGAGGCCTCCCCAACCATGTGGAGCTGTGATTCAATTAAACCTCTTTTCTTATAAATTATCTAGTCTCAGGTATTTCTTTATAGCAGCGTGAGAATGGACTAATACAGTAGGGTTATTTATAACATAAAAGTTGGCCAATATTACTGATAAGGAGTTTTTTTTTTCTTTTTCGAGAGATAGTTATTAAATATTTATTTGTTAAGTATGGCAAATATTTCCAATACTGGAACTATTAATGATGGGAAAAATATAAATTTGGAATAAAAACTGTTTTGTTGAGGCTGGATTTAAGTTAGGTATGCATTTTACTACAAGTAAAAGAATAACCAACTAACTATGTCCTCAATAAATTTTACGTAACAAGAAATCTAGAGGCAGGCCTTTTCTGGCATTGGTGTGACATTTCAGTGCTATCAGGACTGGTGTCTTGATGATTCTCTTTGCCTTTTCTTTCTGATTACAAGCTGACAGCCACCGTTCAGCTACTATTTGAGGCCTGAAGAAAGGAGAAGAAACCACCAATTGTATCTCTTTCAGACTCCCTTCAGCAGACTGCTGCCTATGTCTCATGGCAAGAACTGCTATGCTATGTGGCCATCCTTAGCTGTAAGAGATGCTGAGATTGTGAATATTTACTTCTTACAGTCTCTGTATGAATTTCTGTGAAGGACAAGATAATTTAGGAAATTGAAATGGTGTTAGTATAGCCAGTCATCCAAATTTGTTTACTTTGTTGCTTCTTAACTATTGAGCCTTGTGTTATAGTAAAGAATATAGTACCTCTTAAACACCTAAGTTGTTCCTGATTATACAGTCATAAATTAGATTAAGCTTATATCATGAATTCTTCTTTTTCCTTTAACAGATAAAGCCCATCACAGCACATGGATTTAAAGATTTAATAGTTGTGACCTTTTGTCCCTAGTTAAGGAACATGAAATCACCCTTTGATTTCTGTCATGCTAGTAAAAGCTGACCTTTATAATCCCTTGGAACTGATGTGCTATTTTGAGAATGGGCATAATTTAACTATGACAAATGACCACAACTATAGGACTACCCAAAGACAAGTATAGGACGTGCATTTCTGTGGAATATTTAATGGCTATATTTTAATCTAATAAAGTTCATTGGGAGGAACACTTATAAACACCTTTGGGTTATGTCCTGTGACTATAGTAACTGAAAACTGGTCCACTTGAGTAGCCTATTTTAATGTAAAATGCCCTCATCTACCCTGCCCCTCCTTCAAACTGTCCTGTTCCTACTGTCCCTTCTTGTAACATCGTTTGAGGTACTGAAGATGAGCTATTCATTCCAAATTTTATTATATAAAGTAGAAAAGTCTATTATCATCATGTACATGTCCTATGGAATTATCTTTCCCTTGTCAAACCATCACAAATGAATAGAAAACAGTAAAAGAAACCACATATTATTTTGTGGATTGAATATATTTCAAATGTAATAATTTGACATGAATGTAATTAAAGAAATTTTGAATCAAAGCAAATAGTAACACAGATTAAATCCATAGTATGAGTTTGCTGAAGATTAAAGGGGGACTGAATTTTAATCCAAGAACAAAATGGCAGATAGTAGATTTGGCCTGGTGGGGATGTCATGGGATATCTAAGGTGTCATATTCTAAGTTAAAGAAATATTTGCCAACCCCTTCAGAAGAATTACAAGGAGGAATTTGCTTTTGTGCATGACTGGATTTGGAGGCTGGAGTAACTCTGATGCTCTGGCAATAGTTTTCTATCCTGAGAATTACAGCTACACAGGGAAATTTTTAAGAATATATGAATACCTGGGCCCCTCCTACAGAGCCTCTCATTTATTTTGACTGGAGGGTGGCACCTGGCTACGGAGAATCCACCAAGAATCCTAATGAGCAGCCAGTTTTGAGAAGCTGTGAAATCTGGTTTTGAATCATCACAGGAACCTTCCTTGGTTGTTTGCTCTGTGGTGATGATTGAAGATTCCTGTCTTTTCCATGATTATATTATGTGAAGAATCATTGGCAGTTCTCAAAACTTACAAACTTTCTATTATTTATACTTACAGAGATTGTTTATGTCCTTCTTCTAGACTCTGAAAATACCACCCAATGTCTACTGTATCTATTGTGATAAAATTCAGAGGTAAGAAGACCTGATGGTTAGAAGAAGAGCAGGGAATAACCTGAAAATCAGGAGTAGCTGCCTAAACTTGCCAGACAGTTAGTAGTCTTCTTAGTCATTCATAGTTAAATGTGAAGTAATTAACTTTAGTTGCATTTTCTCTAGAAATCATGTAAGATAACCTGCATCACCCAAATTGGAATTTTGGTTGGGGGCACGTGGAAGAGAAGAGCTTTTAGATGTTGCACTCACAAACTGGCAAATAACAGGGAAAATTAATTCCAGGGATGTATGTGATTTGTTTAGCATGGAGAGTGTCAAGAAAGGATTCATTAGAGCATGCACTTCTAATTCTTTAGAACCCCAGTACTCTTTAGTAGATTGGAGCAATATATACCACTACTCCCTGTTATATTGCTTAACTCATATTTCCTCCTTGAACCCAGAAGGCATATTTTTTTCACCAGTTTCAAAGCTTAGAAGCAGAATATACACACTCTAATATTATGATGTAAGAATTATGGAGGGAGAACAGCTCTACTGAAAATGAGGCCAGCTAAAAGTTGGAATATTGATATAGGTAGGTAGTTACAATGGAGTCAAAGAAAACTGATTTTTTTTTTGCATTATACCTGTAGTTATCACTATACCAAATAAGGGGGGGTAACCATTTCTCCTCTCTCCTATTTATTTTTTTCCTTCTTTACTTTCCTATCCTTTCCATTTCTCTCTTGAACCTGATTGTCACTCATCTCAGAATTCAAGTTAATGCTATCAATACTGTAGTACAATTAAAGTACAGTATAAATAGACTTCTTTGGAATGGTTTCTCTTGCCACAATTTCGTTGCATTAGGCCCATGAGGAAATATGTACCAAGTTTTATTATGCCAACTTTCAATTCCATTTTCAGATAAATCCTGTACAAATTTTGGGCTGCTCGTACTTTATAACATAAATGCTATGTTTAAAAAATTTGGCTTATTTAAAATTAGATTTGTGATTTGATACAAGGACTGGCTGATATCATTATTAGAAACATCCTAGGCAGGCATCAATTGTATTCTTCTACTGCAGTAGATTCTCAAATTTGAGTGCGCATCAGAATTCTCTGGAGGGCTTGTTAAAAATGCAGGCTACTGTCCCATGCCCTCAGAGTTTCTTGTCTAGTCGTCGTAGGGTAGATCCTGAGAAGTTGCAGTTCTCACAGATTCTTAAGTGTAGCTGATCCTGCTGGTCTAAGGACCACACTTTGAGAAACACTGTTCTGATATAAAAGTTAGGAAGGAATTAGTGAGCAATCACTGGTTAGTGAAAATATGAAGGAGTGAATAGTTCTTTGGTCTAGGAAACAACGAATGATATAAGGCATTTCAGAGCTTTTGGAGATGGAGTTCCTTTTAGTATATAGTCTTACAACAATAATACATACAAAGAGAAAAGCAATAGATACTGGGGACTCCTTGGTAGGGGGAAGAGTGTGAAGGGGTATGAGTTGAAAAACTACCTGTCGTGTACTATGTTCACTACCTGGGTGATAGGAACATTCGTACAACAAACCTCAGTGACACAAAATTTACCCATGCAACAAAACCTGCACATGTACTCCCTGAACCGAAAATAAAAGTTGAGAGAAAAATAATATAATAAAATAAAATATTGGGGTGGGGGGACGGGGGAGGGATAGCTTTAGGAGATATACCTAATGTAAATGATGAGTTAATGGGTGCAGCACACCAACATGGCACATGTATACATATGTAACAAACCTGCACGTTGTGCACATGTACCCTGGAACTTAAAGTATAATAAAATATATATATGTATATATATTTATATAAAATAAAAAATTGTTTTGTACCTTCATCCTTTCTGGCTTAACCTCTATCTGTCCACAGACAGGAGTACTTGTTAACTGGAACTTTATCATAAGTTCTATGTGGCTTTTGTTCATCTTTTTCTTTTAAATTACTATTTCATTAAATGGAGCCTGACTCATTTTATATGGGGTATGTAGGAGGGTGTTTGATATCACAGATGAACATGTGATATTACAGGTGTCCCAGGTTCTCAGTTATGCTGTTTGCCATAACAAGTGTTTTCTCTTCACATTCTGCTCTGCTTAGCAGTGTAGCAGCCTTCCCTTCCCCACATCCCCTGGGCCTAAGACCCCCCAAAACATCCTTAGCAACAAATTTAGATGAATATAGAATATATTTTTAATAACTCCTAAATTCCTCAAAAGAAATATCACCTGCTATAATTACTTGATTTCAACTAGTATTTTACTATCCACCACAATGTCAAAACTCTCTCTTTAAATTCTTTATTAAATTGTCCTCTACTGTTACATGTGAACATAATTCCTTAGCTTGTACTTCATAGAACATTTATTTATTCCATGGGCTGTTAATACTATTTAATGATTAAATAAGTTTGGGACACATGAGTTAAACATAGTTAATAAATTTCTTTTATGCATAATTCCTGAGAAAATTTATTATACTAAAGAGCATAAAAGAAACTTCAAGAGAAGACTAGAGTTCACCAAATTTATTTTAGCATGGAGTCTTTTTGTTCAGAAATATTTTGTGGATTAGTGTTTCATAGGACTCAATTTGGAAAATAGAAATTATATTAATTAGAATATATCAACCCATTAATCTATTGGGTTATTCCAGCTGATTTACCTACCCTATTTGAAATACCCTTCCCTTCCACACTGCTCAATCATTTCTTTCCTAACAGACGATAGTAACCAAAGACAGTCAACCCAGTTTTAAGATGGTCATTCAGATTATTCTTGATGGCATACAGTTTTTGTAATTGTTTGTATAGCATATTCTATAAAAATTGACATAATGTAACTAAACATCTCAGATAAATAACCATAATCTAAACCATTAACATTGTGAGATGTGGGTGTATGCACATATATATTTGCACATATATATTTACACATACACACATGCACATATGTATGAAAACATAAGATATAACACATTAATAATACCTATATGTATTTTGTATAAACAGGATAAAAGTGATTTTTATTCATATGTAGTATATGATATATAAGTATAATAATAAATACATGTTAATATAAACATACTATGCATACTACTTTATAAATTGATTATTATAACCTGGGTGACAGAGCAAGACCCTGTCTCAAAATAATAATAATAATAATAAATTGATTATACATTGATGTAATATGAACATATTATCACTTTATTAAATATTCTTTGATAATAGTTTCTTCAATCAGGTATGGGAGGCATATTGGAATTAAAAAGGTGGTGTCCAAAAAGGGCTACCTATGTCCACAGATTCTTCAAAACTACCGTACAATAAGTATTGGGTGGAGGATAGGAGGTGAAAAGATATCACATCCACCCATGAAAATATGTTTTTCTAGAATATGTCTTGTAACTGTATTTTTTTCTACTCTGACTTGGTTACCTAAGCATGTGAATCATTTAAATCTTGTTGAACATCTGCTTCTCTATTCTAAAAGACAGATAGTGACTGGATGGTTAGAGATACATACAGAATAAAATGTTTAAGTAGATCTAAAAGACAGTGAAAAATGAAACTTAGTGGATAAGAAGGAATATACAAATATTGGCATGTGGCATCAGAAAGACAAAAAATAAATGGGATAAGCCTCAATTCTGCAGTATTTCTGAAGAAAGGCGGGTAACTGCAACAAACACTGAATGAAAGGTGTAGACGCAGTAGTGCGTGAGGCAGACTTGTAGAAAAGAGTGCTCAATAGGGGCATGAAACCATATTTGTCAAGTGATTTGAACCAGAGAATATTGTAATCATTACACAGATTTTAATCAGATAGTTATTAGCAATACGAATACGAGAACTTACCTACAAATGTGAAAAACAAAACAGATAATATATCTTACCTGATGTTGTGATATCATTTTATTAAATATGTTTTCCTGTCTATATATTATGACTTTAAATAGAGGTTTATTTTAAAATTAAGAAGCAGACTTGACAATATTTGGCTTGGCCTAAGTTACATATTATGTAAACTACATTAAATTATTAATATATTAACCAACATTAAACATCTAAATACATTTTTTCTTTTAAATTTATGCATAACTAATTAGTGAGGTCATGCCACTATAGGTCTGGGAATGGACTGGTTTTTAATCACAAATGGAAATTTCTTATAAAGAACATTTCTAAAATGAATTCCATGAAAAATACATTATTAATTATAGCTAGCCAAATGTGAAAAATGCTTACTTTTTTATTTTATAGAAATACATGTTTCATAATAGAGTAGCTCATATAGTTTGGCTGTGTCCCCACTCAAATCTCATCTTGAATTGTAATGCCCATAATCCCCATATGTCATGGGAGGGACCCGGTGGGAGGTAATTAAATCATGGGGGCAGTTTCCCCATACTGTTCTCATGATAGTCAGTTCTCAGGAGATCTGATGGTTTTTGAGTGTCTGACATTTCCCTGCTGGCACTTATTCTCTCTCCTGCCACCCTTTGAAGAGGTGCCATCTGCCATGATTTTAAGTTTCCTGAGGCCTCCCCAGCCATGTGAAACTGTGAGTCAATTAAACTTCCTTTCTTTATAAATTACCCAGTCTTGGGTATTTCTTCATGGCAGCATGAGAAGGAACAAATACAGTAGCTATTATATTCTGTAACATTTTTAAGTCAATTAAAATTTGGTTCATAGTAATGGTAATATTACAGATATTGCTTAAAGATTTGGATTAAAATTCTAGACACAAAACAATATACTCATTGAATCAAAACAATGGCAATATTTTAAAAATATTGATGGAATTGGAACAAATTAGGTTATAAAGCAATTAAAATTTGTATCTTGATTTGGACTTTAATTAGATGTAGAAACATAATGCAGAGTATTATAATATACAGAAGAAATCATGCTTTTATTTACTGCTTCTTTCTGTTCTAAGAACAAAAACTTAAATGAAACTAACTACTATTTGGTACTAGTAATCATTTTTTTTTTTTTACCAAAATAAATGACTGTCTCCAGTGTATTCTCTTGCTATTTTCTCCAACTATCTGTCTCTGATAAAAGTAGGCAATGTTTACATTGAAAGCAATGAAGAAATTGTGTTCAAGATGTCCATGGGAGATGGGAGAAAAGTAACAGAAACTTTCAGTTATAATTAAACCAGATTATTTTGAGAAAATCATAATTACTGATTACTAAACATTTCCTAAATGACACTAAGTTCGTTCAATGAGTATTTCCTTAGTCTTGGCAATTTACTATAATTGTAGTAGTTTTTCTCTATCAAGTCTATGATTTTTTTAAAAGGATGAACAAAGATTTGTTTTCTTTTATTTTCACTTAAACCTGGGGGCGCACAGCAAGTTGTCACTTACATCACATGATCATACTCTTACATGCTTGTATCTAGGAATGAGAGTTGGTATTCTGAATAGACTGATTAATCCCCAGTGATACCAACTAACTAGGGAATTTCAAAGTCTCCTTCCTTATTCCCAACACCTCCTCACAAAGATGTGCTGTTTCCACCACATCACATCACTTGAAAAAAACATGTATTTTCTCATTTTATTTTCTGAAATATATTTTCATATTCTTGTTTTCCCATCCTTTCTTTCTCTGTATTTTTTTACATACTTATTATCCTCTTATATTAATATACCGCTGAAGTATACTTTTGACTCATAGTAAAATTTTATTTAATAAGATTTCAGAGGTCATATGTAGAGGAGTAGAATGGCATGACATCAAAGCAAAGATTACACTAAGGCTTCAGTACTACTGGTTTTAAACAGCAATTAATAAGTCACCTATTGAACATTCACAGCACACCTCTTACCAAACTTAGTAAAACGGATTTCCAACATGATGTTATCGAAGTACCTCCAAACTAAAAATTTGGGGACCTAGCAGGTCTGTGTTCTAATTTGTTGCTGCTGTTAACAAACCGATTGATTTTAGCCAACATCAGAACTATAACATTCTTCTTTAAAAAATGTTTTAAATTTATTGAGGTGTAATTGACATACCATATTGGACTCATTTAATGTCTAAATCTTGATGAATTTGGACATATGCATACACACATGATAACATCACCACAATCAAGGTACAAAACATGTACATCACCTCCAAAAATATCCTTGTGTTTCTAAGGTATATTTTTGTTTTTTTTTTTTAGTAAGAGCACCTAACATGAAATCTATCCTTTTAATATTTTGAACTGCATAACACCGTATTGTTAACTACAGGTAATACATTTGTACATCAGATCTCTAGAAGTTATCTTGCCTAACAGAAACTTAACATCAATTGAAAAACAATTCCCCATTTCCCCTTCCCTTAGCTCCTGGCAACCACCATTCTATTCTCTGCTTTTGTGAATACAACTATTTTAGAACACTCATATAAGTGGAATCTCTATCTGAGACTGGCTTATTTCATTTAGCATAATGTCCTCAAGTTGTTGTTACAAATGGCAGAATTTCCTTCTTTTTAAAGGCTGAATAGTATTCCATTCTCTCTCTCTCTCTCTGTCTCTCTCTCTATATATATATATACATATATGTACATATGTGCATATACATATATATGTGTGTGTATATATATATATATATGGACTGCTTCCATATCTTGTCTATTGTGAACAGTGCTGCAATGAACATGAGAGTACAAACATCTCTTCAAGATCCTGACCTCAATTTATTTGGATATATACCCAGAAGTGGGATTGCTGCAGTATATGGTAATATCATTTTTAATATTTTGAGGAACCTCTATACTGTTTTTCCCAGTGGCTGTACCATATAGCATTCTCATCAACTGTGTATAAGGGTTCAAATTTCTAATTTCTCCACACCTTTTCCACCACTTATTTGTTCTTGTGTGTGATAATAGCCATCCTAACAAAAATAAAGTGATATCTCATTGTGGTTTTGATTTGCATTTTCCTGATAATTTGTGATGTTGAGCATCTATATACCTATTGGCCATTTGTATGTTGTCTTTGGAGAAATGTCTATTCAAGTCTTTTGCCTATTTTTTTAATCCAGTTGCTTGTTTTTCTCCAAATGAGTTTGTGACTAAAAAGGAAGCATAATGTTTGGGAACCTGAGTATGATGGATGTGGGCAAAGATGATGAAAATAGAAAGAAACACTTTTTGATTTTAATAGCTTTAGGGGTATAAATGGTTTCTGGTTACACAGATTAATTATATCGTGATGAAGTGTGAGATTTTAGTGCACTTGTCACCCAAGTAATGTACACTGTACCAAATATACAGGTTTTTATCCCTCACCTTCTTCCTACCCTTTCCCTTCTCAGTATCCAGTGCCCATTATACCACTCTATGTGCCTTTGCATATTCATAGCATAGCTCCCACATGTAAGTAAGAACATATGGTATTTGGTTTTTCATTTCTGAGTTACTTCCCTTAGAACAACGGCCTCTAGTTCCATCAAACTTGCTGTAAGAGACATTATTACTTCTTTTTATGGGCGAGTAGTATTCCATAGGATGTATATACCACATTTTCCTTATCCATTCATCAGTTGATGGGCACTTAATTTGGTTTCATATATTTCAATTGTGAATTGCACAGTGATAAATATATCTTCAGGTGTCATATTTGCAAGTGTCTTTTTGATATAGTGACTTATTTTCCTTTGCATAGACACTCAGTAATGGTATTTATTGATCAAGTGGTAGATACAGTTCTTTAATAAATCTCTATACTGTTTTCCATAGAGGTTGTCCTAATTTACATTCCCACCAGCAGTGTAAAAGTGTTCCCTCTTCACCACAACCATGTTAACATCTGTTGCTTTTTGAATTTTTAATAATGGCCATTCTGGCTGGGGTAAGGTTGTATCTCAGTGTGGTTGTAATTTACATTTTCTTGGTGATTAGTGATGTTGAGCATTTTTTCATATGTTTGATGGCCATTTGTATATCTTCTTTTAAGAAATGTCAATTCATGTCATTTGCCAACTGTTTGATGGGATTATTTGTTTTTGTTTTGCTTGCTGATTTGTTTGAGTTCCTTGTAGATTCTAGATATTAGTCCTTTGTTGGATGCATAGTTTGCAAATATTTTCTCTTCTGTGGGTTGTCTGTTTACTCTGATTATTCTTTTTCTGTGCAGAAGCTAGAAAAAATGAATATTCATGCAAGGCTTTATGATAAAAAATGAGAAATGTCAGTATGGCAAAGCACAAGGTATAGCATCGTGTAACTAACAGTGAAATAGGATACAGATCAAGCTCTGATTTTTTTTTGAAAGTTGTTTATTTAAGATGAAGTATTGTATTCCTGAGCTATCTTAAAAGGCTGGTCTTCTTGTATTAGTTTCAAAGGTAGTTTTTGGAAGCAAGGCAGGACCCAGATTGCTGATTTTCAAAAGTAGTATTTGTGCCATAGGAAAAAAAACAGAAATTTCATTTTTCTTTAATTACGCCACTTAAAAAACTCTTACCTTTTTGACTAATAAGGTTTGTAAAATATAAATATGCTGATACACATGTTATATACAATATATAAATACATAAGCTATATATATAAGCCATATAAATGTATGTTATATTAATATGTATAAGATATATATAGATATATATATATCTCCCCAATTTTAGGGGTATAGTCCAAAGTGTTTTACTGTAAAGAGTGCATACTAAAAAAAAAAAAACCCACTTTTTACATGGTATTCAACATTCTTTCAGAAACATCAGTAATAGATTAAAAACTTCTGGCAACCATATAGAGTGTAGTCAGAAAACTATGAATGGGTTTCATCTATCATTATTTTGAAGTCATTCTGAGAAAAAAAATGCTAACCATGATTTAGAAACATGTTCTGTTTTGAGCAAAATAAACTAAATATGGTAGATGCTGTGATGCACTGCCCAGATTTCTGTTCATAGAAGGACATTTTACCCAAACTGATGGAAGTACTGTTGGTAGACAGACTTTGGTTGTTAGCCCTTTTGAGGACCGCCTCAGTTGAAGAGAAATGCCCTGGGTCATGGGACTTTCTTGGGTTGACCTCATACAGGAACTTATCTATGAGGGCATATAAAGGCCATTTTATCTCAGTTAAATTTTAGTCTATTCTGTAGGGCAATTCTAGCTCCAGAGCTTCTCATAGGGTTGGCAGAAGCTGCTGTTGGGCTAAAGGTTCAGTTGACTTTTCTGTGTCCACTCCTACTTCTTTCCTCTTCTCTCTAGAAGTGTTGAGCCCCAGGGAACTCCTTAATAAACATTCTAAACTTTATATCATAGTTGGATTCCCAGTGAACACAACCTGTAACACTTAAAAACCAAAGTAAAATATATCAGTTATGTGTTCTGAAATAAACTAACTTTAGGCCTGGGAAAAATTACAATAAGAAGACTTCACTAAAAATTTAATCTTCTGTACTAGATCTATCCCTTATATACTTGGCTGTCAGATCCATCATTATTATGACATAGATGAAATGGTAAACTTGGATGATATAATATTGTGATGAACACGTTTATTCCCGTTTATATTTCCTCATTGACCTAGAATCAACACTTGCCTCCTAAAAGCATTTTCTTATTGAATGCTCCCTAGATTGGAAAGTTCTTATCATCTAGGGGCCCTGTATATAGGATCCACATCACTCTCCATAGGGGTTTATTAAACTGCCTCCTTTTCAGTTCTTTCCGTTCCTACCTCACAAAGCATTTATTTGTTCCATTATGCACCATTATTTTTAAATTTTTTAAATAGTAGAAGATCTGCATTTTAATTAGGTATAATCTACTTTTAAAGTCAGTTGAAAAATTTTCTAAAATAAAACATCTGTAATATCCAAAGGTGTCTGGCCTAGGGCAGAAAAAGTGAGAGTGCACATCTGTATTATTGCCATCATCAGAAAATGAAGTCCTATTAAAAACATGTTCATAATGTGCTCTACTCTCTAGGAAGCAAAAGTTTATATCCTGGAAAACTACTAGCATTTCTTATAGGCAATAAAAGTTTCATGACAGCCCAGACCTGAGTTATTAAACATATGCTCAGGCATCTTAAAAATGTTATTACTGATTAATCTATAGTTATAAATAACTTTCATTGGCACCAGATGCCTAAATAAATATGGTAATTTACGGTTTGTGTTGTTTCATACAAATATGGCCCTCTGTCTTTTGTCAAAAAATGAAGTTATTCTTGTATATCATACAGTTCTGCAATAATGTATGCTAAAGCGATAGGATGAAGTTAGCACCCAGAAATAGAATTATCACTATTTAAATTTCATCATTTTTAGATATTAACCTTAGTTGCTAAATATAGTATGATGTAAAATATTTACATTTATTAATCCATATTAAGAATCCACATTTCTTAAATCTATATTAAGTAAATTGACATTAAAAGAGTAAAGTGATCCAGCTTTCCATCAAACATGATTTTTTATTATTTATACATAAATTGTCAAATTTAAAATAAACCCTCACCACAAAAAAGTGATGCATTTGATATGAGGAACAATAAACAAGCATAACTAGGGCAGGAATACAAATCAAGAAATTATTAAACATTACAGTTTTATTATGTTAAAAATGCTTACATAAATTGTATTTTATTGCAAGGCCAGAAAATATTGAAAAGCAGTTTGCAAAATACAAAAGGTGGCAGGCCCAAGAAGGTTTCTTGAAGATTTCTATAATGATGAATTAGAAAACATGTAAATATACAGCAATAAGTAATAGTGTTGTCTACGCAATAGAATATAATACAATCATAAAAACAATTGATATATTCTATAAATTTATTGACAAAATTGCTGATGAATCAACATGCATAACATATTGCATGTGTGCATAAATAGTACAACATCAAGTGTACACATGAGAGGGATTGCCTGGAAGTAATTGTGAGCAATCTATAGGTAGTGAGGTTATAAGTGCTGCAATACTATTTTATCCTATTATCTACACAGAGTTTCAATTTTCAAAGAAATATGGATTATGTATTAAGAAATTAAAACTAATATTGAAAATGAAACCTAATATAAACAAATATTTAGTTTCAAATGGTAACCTCCTTTCTTCTAAATACTTCTTCTCTGTAATGGAGGTAAGGCCGAGTTATGATTGAATCCTGTGATTGAAAGTTCATCTTCAGGGCTGGCCTTAAACCCTCTAATGTGGTGAATAACCTACACACGTGTTCTTCAATAACTCACAAGTAATTTTCAGTGGTGTTTCCATGTGGGAATTGCTTCCTAACATTTCTTCAGAAATATACATTTTTTTCTGAGTCTGGAATAATGAGAAAGATCAATCAGGAGCTTTAGAACACAGGAATAATGTACTATTATCCCCATGAGAGAACTGCAGCTTAGAAGTGAACAGAAAAACATTACAAGTTTGAAACTTCAGAATCCACCAAAGTCAAGTGGAAATTAAGCAAAATCAGGAAGCACAGACTCCAAGTCAGTCAAAAATCAAGGTTGACATTACTGGGAACCAAGTTCAGAATATATATAGAAGAATGGTGACAACGTAATCATTCAATCTTACTTTCAGTTATTGTCATGTTTTAAAAGTGTGTTTTTGAATGTCTGCTATTGACAATGCATCATTCCAGCCAATAAAATAAGCATTAATAATTTATATGCATAGTATACTTGATTAAAATCCTATAAGTGATGTTCCCAGAAATAGTAAGTTTGGGAACTAAAAAATTCTCAAATTGGTGATTTCAATCCATGATTCTGTGTAGTGATTTTGACACTAATATTGCCAGGAAGTCTGAATATTAGCTAATCAAATCCTATCCAATACTACTCACTAACATGTTCAATGTTTTAACATTTCCTATCAGCTATGTTTCCTTGTAAACTTAATTTTTTAAAATGTATTAATCATAGTTTGTATATATCCCTACCAATATGTAAAAATAATGTAGAATATTGGAAGCATGTTAGGAGTAACTTATTTTTAGTAATAATAATGTAGAACATTGGGAGTATGTTAGGAGTAACTTAGGATTTTAGAAATTTATGAACATTCCTGGGAATTCTGATTTCCAATTCTCAGATATCAAATACTAATTTCTGTTGGGATTTTGGAAACCTTCAGCCAGCAGCAACTCACAAAAATGGTGTGGCAGACAGAGGGAGCAAGGTGGTATTTGCCAGATCATGTGACATCTTTTCACACGTACACTACATAGCCTATGACACCTGTTTTTAGTTTAATACGGTGTTAGTCTTTGGTATATAAAATTGTGACATTAAACACAAAGTCATTAACTTAAAAAGATTGAAATAGATACTTTTTTCTGATATTTACTTGCCTCTTTTTGTTAAACTTTTGGAGTTATAGATCTTTGTGAATCTAATGAAGTAGAGACGAGACTGTCATCAGGTGTTTTCATTAAAAAAATCTATACACCTCTTACACTAAAATTTGTGGTTGGGTTTTATTAAAATAATATGAGGGGTTAAAATTAGTACTACAGGTTGCGATTAAGTACTGAGGGAAAACAGATAATGAGTTGTAATTTTTAGATGAAAGAAAATCTTCCATAATTATTTAAAATGCTTCAATAAACCTGGCAAAAGGCTAGTCTTTGCACTGTGTGACTCAGCAGGAAAATGGAGACATTTCTAACTTTAGGTATAAGCTTAGCTTTAAAAATACTTGGAAAATAAACTTTGAATGTCTACCATCTTATACCTTTTAAGATACAGAAATGTGTGTATTAGAAATAGATTTTTTTTGTAAATGTATAAAGAAAATCAAAATAACACACGTGTGTAGCTGCAAAAAATGTCACCTTCTAGTTCCCTTGCATGTCAGTACGTAGTCCATGTTGTCCAGAGAGAGGTAATGTATTTATCTCAGGGTGCCATTTAGGATTTATTATGAGAACAGAGATGTCTCATCTCCTGCCACCTAAGATACCTTGTGTTCTTTCACTTTCTTACCCCTTTCTTGAGCTTAGGTTTTAATGTTGTGATTTGGGGGATTTATACAATGCCGTGATTAACACAGGCCCAATTTCCATCATTAATTGAATATTATCTTTCTATGAGGAAAACAAACTGAATTTTAACTCTGTTCCTCTATAATTTTATTCTGCCTTTTGCTGCTAGCTTATCTCCAGTCAAGTTCTCACTGTAATTACAGTTAGCACAATTCTAACAGGTCTGGTAGTTAACGAGACGTGAATTTTCAGGTACATTATGTAGATAGCTACTAACTTTGTTTTAACATTAATGCCCCTCTCTTTAGGAAATAGCATTAAATATACATTTTAAATTATGATTATGACATAATAAAGCATTATTTTTTAGCTATCAAATATTTATCTTTTAAAACAAAAATAAATGAAAATTATTGAACTCAAATAGTTTTTGAAGTAGCTACCTATTTTTCTATTGCTAATCATCAGTACTGAAAACTGCAAAAAATCTGTAATTAACCTAGAGATTAAACAAGTGAAAAGTATGTTTGAAGCACAATGAAGGTCCAGTTTAACACTTTTAGGAAAAAAACAAACTAGTCCTTATGTTAGACCAAGTGTATACTTCTTGTTTCTGTGATAATGTAAATGTTTAGGAATCACAGTACTTGTCTTCTCTGAATTTGAGCTGTGCTGTGGGCTAGCTTCACTTGCGATGTTAAACTTGGATTTATCCTTTGAGGCAGCGCAGCAGTTTTTGCAGGTACAGAAATGGTCTTTATATTTAAATGTGCTGCCTGGAACACACTTCCATCTGTTTTATGTAGTTTACACAAAGCATTAGTTCATTTCCAGGGGTTCAAAAATTCTAATTCTAAAGGTTAAATTCACACACAGAGAAACCCAGTGGGATTAGAATTCCTATTTTAGAAAATGCTTGTCCTTTTGCACTGTGAACATGACTTGCTATCTCTGCATTATCTGGCTGCAGAGCCATTACACTGGTGCTTCTTTTCTCTGTTAATTTGTTCCCCATCTTTATCCTGATGCGATAGCACAAAAAGATGAGCGAGTCCCAGGACTAAGAATGAAGACATCTGGAGCTCATGATAAGAAAACTACCTAAACCTAGGAGTTCTGTGTATCTATCTTTGTTTATTTCAGGTCCCTTTCTACTTTCTAGACTTGTTGAAATTTTCACTATTAAAAATTACATGTTATTTGGGAAACTGTCTATGAGCCTGCTTTGTAGCTACAGATAGGGTAATTATACTTCCCAAATTTTCTGGGATAAATTAAATTTAAAATCTTCATTTCTATTTTCAGACCATGCATCTAGGTGTGGCATTAGGAAAGTAGGTTTCTTGTAACTGAACACTACCATTTCAACTTTATTTTGATAAAATCAGATCTTTGCTTACCTGGTGGCTTGCCATTTGTACTTTTGTACAGCTAAACATTAGTGTAAGGAATTGTTCCATTATATGTTTTGTGTTTTTGTTACTTCAAACAGAAAACCTTAGAATTAAAGCTTTCTATAGCTGCTTTATGTCCCACTTATGAGGAAATTTACAGAGATGCTTTGGTCAGAGAATAGTGGCTTAGGAAGTATTTAATACATTCAGTTTACTGCAGACAGTTGTTTTTGTGCCACCTCTGCATCAGTCTAAGTAAATTTTGGTCTTCAGATTAAAGCTCTATGAGCAAATTGCCACTCATTACTTCTCACATTGAAGATGAAATGACATCAGTGGTTATAGATGGCCATATTTCCATATGTTGGAAAAATATCAAATAGTTTTGAATCTCTTGAATAGAAAGGCAGATAAGATTTTCTCAAGCTGATAAGAGCAAAATTAGATATACAAAATCATAGTAATTGAGAAATGGGAATTTGATAATTATGAGGAGAAAATGTGTACATATCTAGACATCAAACATTGTCAAGTATTTATTTGGGTATATACCCAGTAATGGGATTGCTGGGTCGAAATGCACTTGTCTTTAGGTCTTTGGGGAATCGCCGCACTTTCTTTCAATCATTCTGTTATAAAGACACATGCACGTGTATGTTTTTTGAAGCACTATTCACAATAGCAAAGACATAGAATCAATCTAAATGTCCATCAATGATAGATTGGATAAAGAAAACGTGGTACATATACACCATGGAATACTACGCAGCCATGAAAAAGAATGAGATTATGCCCTTTGCATGGACATGGATGGAGCTGGAGGCCATTATCCTTTGCAGACTAACACAGGAACAGAAAACTAGCATGTTCTCACTTTTAAGTGGGCACTAAATGATGAGAACACATGAACACATAGAGGAGAACACACACTGTAGCCTTTTGGAGGGTGGAGGGTGGAAGGTGGGAGGAGAGAGAGGATCAGGAAAAATAACTAACGGGTACTAGTCTTAATACCTGGGTGATGAAATAATCTGTACAACAAACCCCCATGACACAAGTTTATCTGTGTAACAAACCTATACTTGTGCCCCTGAACTTAAAATAAAAGTTAAAAAAGAGGCTGGGCATGGTGGCTCACGCCTGTAATCCCAGCACTTTGGGAGGCCAAGGTGGGCAGATCACTTGAGCCCAGTTCAAGACCAGCCTGGCTGACATGGTGAAACCCCATCTCTACTAAAAATACAAAAATTAGCTGGGTGTGGTGTCATGCACCTGTGATCCCAGCTACTGAGGAGGCTGAGACAAAAGGATCACTTGGACCTGGGAGGTGGAGGTTGCAGTGAGCTGAGATCATGCCTCTGTACTCCAGCCTGGGTGACAGAACGAGACTCTGTCTCAATTAAAAAAAAAAAAAGTTAAGAAAGAGCCCCCCCAACACACAAAAGTATTGCCAAGTAAAAATGCAAAAAAAGGTAAAATAGGCCAGATTTTCCCACTGAAGAAAATAGTTGAAATAATTTATATGTTTTGGTATCAGTTTTGTCACAGAGTAAGAAGTAGGGGAAAAGGACTGAGGTAAAAAATACCTCTTATGGTCACGGGCCATTAAGAGTTGTTTTATTTAAAGGGGGATTAACTACAAAATTCTGAGTTATGTTGTTTTCTTTGGAATCATAAAATTGGAAGCATTATATGTAATCTTTAAGCAATATTTTGGGAAGATCACTTTTTAAATAGTTGATGCTTATTCTTTTATTTTGTAAGAAAGCATAGAAGCTAGAGTGTCCATAGCTTCAAAGGGAGAAGAAAGGCATTGGATTTTTGATTATCTCTCTACAGTTGTAACTTTTATTCCCAGTGTCCTGATGTCGCAATTTTGTGACTTTGTGTGGCCCTCTTTCCATTCATCCTGCTTGACCCTCTGGGCAACTTTCAATCTACAAACTCATGGCAATTTTCTTTTATTATTTCCTAGTAAATTCCCTGCCCAACATATTTTCCTTTCATTCTGTAAGTTCCATTATTTGCATATTTTATACCTGTATATATAGTCTAAGTTTCTTATCTTTCTCTATTGTTTCCCATTTTTCTTTTTATGTTTTATCCTAACTTCCTCATATTTACCTTTTAACATTTCTATTGATTTTATTTTTCTTATTTTTGCTATCATATATTGAACATACAAGAAGTTATTTTAGCTTTATCAGCATTTCATTTTATAGTCTGTTCTTTTCTGGTATGCCATATCTTGTATATCTGCATGCATTAGAAATAACTTTAAAGCATTCTTCAATTTTCATATTGTATTTTCTTTCTTTTCTTTTCTTCTTCTTCTTTTTTTTTTTCTGAGACAGCATCATGTTCTGTTGCCCAGGCTGACTGCAGTGGCATGATCATGGCTCACTGCAACCTCTACCTCCGAGGCCCAGATGATCCTCCTACCTCAGCCTCCTGAGTAGGTAGGACTACAGTCACACACCATGACACTTGGCTAATTTTATTTAGTTTCTCTAGAGACAGGGTCTCACTATGTTGCCCTGGCTGGTCTTGAAATCCTGGACTCAAGTGATCCTCCTGCCTTAGCCTCCCAAATTGCTGGAATTATAGGTATGAGCCACCACACCTGGCCGACATTGTCTTTTTTTTTTATTCCAAGTATATTTACTGTTTGTTTGATTTGATCATTGTTTCAAGGTGAGGCTTTCCTCAGACACCTGGTTTTCTCTGGCTACCAATTTAAGTTGAAGACCTAGGAAACAAAACGCTGATTAAAATCTCTATGTATGTGATGTATGTGGGTAGGTCTTGTTAATAAGTCTAGTTTACTGTAAAGTGATTAGGTGTAGTCCTAGATGTTTTCCCAGAAGGTTCCCAGATGTCTGTAGGTTTCGTTTTTTTCTGTTGGGACATCTGTTTACCCAGAGGGAAACCATCTGGCTGCCTGCTCAAGCATAGGGGACAGGAGTCAAGCAAGAATGGAGACTCGTTTCACCAGTTTCATTTATATCATTCTCCTGTTTTCAGTCCAGTACCTCTACCATTCCCTCAACTGTGCTCAGTTTCCTGAAAGCAAGTCCTCTCTGGTTCAACAGAATTAACCTCCTGTCTTCTATTGAAATGGGTGAATTGCGGTTGTGTGAAGTTGGGAAAGGAATTTGAAACTGAGCTGGTCCTTATACACACTTCTGAATATTCATATATTTAACTTAACCCATTTATGTCCATGGTTTCAGAGTACATGTTTCCTCGAATTTTTGAGACATGTCAAGGTTCTGTGATGCAAATTAGCTTGATTCTTGTTGTCCTCTCTTAATTTCTCATGCTGCTTCCTTGCCCCATATGTAATTATCATTTTTCTATTTTTCATTGGTAATTATAATTGAAGTCTATTGAATTTGTTTTGGCTCCCAAGATTTTGTTGACATTTTAATATCTATTTTCTTTTTTGTGTGTGTATCCTTTTGAATATTTGCCATGATTTTTCCTTTACTTCTATTAGAGTTTGGGGAGAGCTGTTAAATATGTATGTTCAATTAGACACGTTTAAATCACAATGGAGTTTATAGTATTTCTAATAGTTATAGAGTCATGTGTGATACTCAAATGTTCACTTTCTTATTTTGTGTTCCCCCTGGACTACTAAGTATATGATGTGAAAATCTAAACTTTTTGTTCTATAATATCATCACATGTGAGGAGCTTCTAAATGGTCCTTCGTTCTATTCATTACTTCAATTATTTTTATTCACAGAAGGGCAATGGTATAGAGAAGCCCAAACTATGGGTAACCTGAATATAATTTACATTTAACTTTGATATGATTATGCAACATTTTCCACATGTTGATTTTGGTTTGTGTGGTATGAAAATTCACCAACAGGATTAAACATTGTACTATCCCTCCAATCTGCACTTATTTGTTCATTTGTCATGCAGTATCCTCAAGTTTGGCAGCCTTGGAGGTTAACCTGCATTTAGTACCCAAATTCAAAGGATACTCTCCCATACATTCTCTAGCCATATGATTGCAGGAAGTCTGCTTCCTATCTTTTATTAAGTTTGTACACCCTTAATAATTTTGAGAAATGCCCAAGGTTCCAACAAGTCTGTCTTACTAGTTGCTTGTCACATATTTTTTCAGTCTGCTACTCCGGGCTTCTCTGTTGGCCATGTTCTTTCCCTTCTTGTCAAGGTTTTTCTAGACTGCTCTATTTTCTTCCCCAAATGCTTTTTTTTTTTCCAAGCATGGACACAGACTCTCTTTTCATTCTTCACATTACAGATAACACCAGGCTGTAATGTTTGATGAAGATCTAAGAATAACTGAAAGTAATTGCAACCAAGGATGAGAACATGTAGAGTGAGATATAAGATACTTCTACTCCTGAAGTCAGTTGTCCATACCCCATCACCTAAAGCTCACCTCTTAGTTTGCAGTCCACTACCCTGTTGCTGAAGCCTACTCTCCCCTTTCGTATTGGGAGTTCCTTTTGGCTTTCCAAAAATATGGAGACAAAATAATAGCTTTCCCTGGTTCCAACAAATGGAAACCAGAAAATCCACTTTATAGTTTTTCACCAATATACTTAATTTCTCAGTTAGAAGTAGTCCATATTAGGTTGGGCCATCTCTCCAAAGAAAGATTTCAGGATCTGTCTTCCAACATTAAATTTTATGTCACAGATAACAGAAAGCTCTTTAAATAACACTCTCTCCTTGATGCATGATGAATATACACACTATATGAAAACCTTCGTTCCCTTATTGTTTTCATGTTGTCTTCATAATACTTTTCAGGTACTTTTCATAGCACTTTCTCACTTTTATCTTACGTGATCTTCACTTATATGATTTAGATACTATTGATCCCCCCATTTTTACAGAGAAATAGTTGATATATAGAACAAACGAATTGTTTATTCTAAAGTTTCACAGCTATTAAGTCATAGAGCTAGGATTCAAACTCAGTTCAAGCCTGTGCTCTTAAGTACTTAAGTACATTTTCCTCCCACTATCCTAGTAGATCCTACTTGATAGGTGGGATTGTTTCAGTAAAGTCTTTTATGGGCAAGAAATCTAAATCCAAAGATGTAGATTACAGACTATACCATTAAAATCTTATAAACCAACTTTCTAAAGATTGCCAGAGCTCATGAAAGATAGCAAGGAACTTCCTCAGGACAAAAAAAAAAAAAATAAAGATCACAGTGGTTTGAACTACTATACTGCTTCTCCTGATGTTTCTCCCCTTCCCAACTTCCATGTCACGATATAGGGGTGGATAAGATATTGTGGTGGGAGGAAGTAGAAATTGACATGGAATTTTGAAGTGTGGCAGGGAAGAAGGTTTTTTGTTGTTGTTTGTTTGCTCAATTGTTTTGACCTAGGCAAGTCTTAGAGAGTTATCTCTATTGTGTTGCAGCTTTTACTTGTGGCTGATTAACAAGAGCCCTACTATATCTCTGAAGTTCTTGCTAGTTAATCCTTTTTTTGGTATGGAATTTTTCTAGGGACCCCCAAAATGGTACTAACTATTGAGAAACATACCGGCACTGGAAGTTTGTATAAAATATGTAAGCCTCATAAATCAAATATTGAAAGGTATGGATGATCATCAGATGATTGTGGCTCTCAACAAAGAAAGGTTTCAAGTAAAATTTAGAAGAAGTACAGAATAAAAGTAGGGGTGTGGTATTTGCATGTTCAGGATACGTCATTAAAGAATTACTGTTCACTTTATCTTTATATGTTGATCTTGGGTTACGAGACATCAATATCGGGAGCTTATTCCATGCTTTTCTTAAATGCAGAATGGAATTTTAAAGTGCTGCAGGGAAAAGAGGATTTTAATTTTATAAATTATTTAGCATATTTACTCAAATTTTGTGTAGTTTAAAATTAGATTTAATTCTCTCAAGCACTGCACATATAACTCTGTTGTACATTTTGTGTAGCTAAAATGTGTAAAATTAAATCATACGTATAATATCTCTAATGTCATTCTCACTGGTTAATGCCACTTTATACTTTTATCATTGTCCAATAATATTTGGAGATAATGAAAAGACGGGCCCATATTAGCTATGATTGAACTGTTCTCTAAATAACAGAGGCATAATATGGTGACTATTCTATGAGTGTTTTTCTAAAATGTACAAAAATATAGAGTACATCACCTTTGTTGTATTGAAATTAAAATAAATGCAAATATAGCGATGCATTCAATTGCAGTTAATGTTTCAAAACCTACAAGGTCAAGATACAAGAAATTAGCCTTCATATATGTTACTTATGTTTTTCTTCGTCACTCTATTCACTTTTTGTTTTTCTATTTTTCTATTTTGCTCTACTAAATTATTTTCTTTCACATTTTTCGTTTAAAATTTATATCATGATTAAAATCCTGGATTACCTTTTGCATTCTTTTTATGCCCTTATTTTAAGGAGCTAACTTAACTGTAAATCAGTCATGGACTTGGGACACGAGTATATTTCTCTAAAGTTGAGAATTATTCAAAATGGGACAAATGGAGTCGCCTAAGTAATTTTCTCTACCAACGAGATAAATGAAAGGCTGAGAGAGGACATTGTGTTATTTCTCTGATGTTGAGTAAAGCTAAAGTCTATTTTAATGCAATAAATTGAATTTTGCAATACCACAATATTTGATTTTAGCAGAAACTAGTCTATCATCTTAATGCTTCTCCTGTCTCTACTTGCAGCTTCTAGCATTATTCTTCCAACTTAAAGATCTACTTAAATCTTTCTCTCTCTCACACATACACAAATGTTTAGAGCATTCTTATACAAAATACTTTTATTTCTTCATATTTTGCAAATATGTGCAAAGATTAATGGAAACCTGCAAATGGTAGTTGCTTCCTGTACATTTGGATTGTGAGTCAGAATCACTATGCATGGGCTAGCTCATACAAACAGGAATTGTCCTTGGTTGGAAGAAGAAATTGCTTTGATCAACTTATTTGGTTTCCCACATAAATAAACTCAAATGTCAGGTCTCTAGTGTAATGATTGAAATGACTTTTTAAAAATCAGTGTTTAATATGAAAAAAATGGCTTGTTGAGGAGAACTGAAACAATACTGGACTAACTAACCACATTCTATCTTATACCATTTTGTTGTATATATATATATAGCTGTATTAGAATTGTGGGAATGTATGAAATATAAACTTTCTCAAAATTGCTTGAACTGCCTGTCCACTGCTCATTTCTCCTCACAGCATTCCTGCTTTCCCCCACCCCAGTATACCAATTATCTTTGTTAAGTCCTATAGCAGAAAATAAAAGAGTTTGCATGTTTCATGTCCGGCAATGGACAAAGATTTGTTACACTCTTAGCCCTATTTGTAATTTCACAGAGAAGAGTAACTGATAGGCTCACCTTTTGTCACGTATCCAGATATGGTACCATCATCTCTGGTCAAAACAATAGGGACCCATCTGTGTAAGTTGGAGAAAAATAGATCACATGTTTGCTTGATGGGAGAAAACCCAAAGAATATCTAATAGTAAATTTTTAAAAATATAGGTATAACTTTATTGTGATAATTAACAATGTCTTCTTACTGGCTATTGATGAAATTCTTAGCTAGAGAAGTTCCTCAGTTAGATTTCTCTCTGCTTCTTTTGTTTTCCTTGTTTATCTTGTATGTCTCATTAATGCTTAACTTCTTTCACTGGCTATTGCAATCTCATTACTTTCCATGGGAAGAATCACAATTGATATGCAGAAGACACAATTTGAAATGACATGAAAAACAACAAAAAATTATTCTCTTACTTAATAGGATGAGCCAATATAAAGGATAAGATTATCAAATCAGAATCATCTGAAGTAAAGGTTTTACCCAGTATCACCATTATTAATAATATCGAGGATGCAGATGAAAAGGAGGATCAAACAAATCAGGTAGAAGTCTTGGACATCCTGTGCGGCTCCCCAGGACTTTTCTTCCTGCATTGGACATGCACAGTAATCAAAGAGTTTTCAAATAAGGTTCACATATTACCTTATAAGCAAGGAAGTGGTTAGACTATGAAATAGCTTCATTTTAGACTTTGACTTAGGCAGTATATTTGAGGGACATATGCCTCACAGTTCCACAGATTATGGGTTTATTTGTTATTAATAATTCTTAGCTGGGCACATCCTGCTAAGAACATTCTAGATGTCAGGACCTTTTATTCTAGCAAATATTATTAGTCTGTTTACAAAGAGGCCTAGATACAAGCGTGTTTACAGGGAAAAGAGACCACGTCACCTTCTTTATCTAGAAACATCCCGTCAGTAAAGGAAGAAACCCACAGGAGTCCTTCATTGCCCAAAGGACCTGCACAATCATGTGGTAGAGTAGTTAAAGGGTTAACTCAGGGGTTCATATATACCACCAAGGGCCCTAATTCTTTCTAATCTCTCTTTGTCTTTCTCTCAATCTTTTTCTCTCCCTCTCTGCCTCCATCTCCCTCTTTCCATTTTCCTCCCCCTCCCCTTCCCCTTGCACCCTCTTCCCTCTCTCTCCCCTTCCTTCTTCTCTCCCTCCCCTCATCCCTCTCTCTTTTCAATCCTTATAATATAGTATTTATTTTTGTCTCTCGTCTTGTTTTTTTATGTTTGCAAAAGAGTTACCATAGATTCAAGCATCATAGCCCACAAAACAGTGTCTAGAAGCCAGAATACAAAGGAGATTATTCTTAGAAGCTCCTCACAGATTTTCTTTATTGCTTCATTCGTCATAGTTTTTAGATACACGGTGTCACTGTGTCACCCAAGCTGAGGTACAGAGGCAGTGGCAGGATCATAACTCATCTCAGCCTTGAACTCCTAGGCACAAGTAATTCTCCCACCTCAGCCTCCCAAATAGCTAAAACTACACGTGTGCACCACTGTACACAGTGTGTATGTGTGTGTGTGTGTGTGTGTGTGTGTGTGTGTATATATATATATATATATTTTTTTTTTTTTGAGATGGAATTTTGCTCTTGTTGCCCAGGCTGGAGTGCAATGGCACAATCTCAGCTCACTACAACCTCCGTCCCCTGGGTTAAAGCGAGTTTCCTGCATCAGCCTTACGAGTAGCTGGGATTACAGGTGCCTACCACAACGCCCGACTAATTTTTTGTATTATTAGTAGACAGGGTTTCACCATGTTGGCCAGGCTGGTCTCGAACTCCTGACCTCAGGTGATCCACCCGTCTCAGCCTCCCAAAGTGCTGGGATTACAGGCGTGAGCCACCGCACCGGGCACACAGTGAATTTTTAAATATTTTGTAGAGACAAGGTCTCTCTGTGTTGCTTAGGCTGGCCTCAAACTCTCGGCCTCAAGCAATCCCCTGACCTTGGCTTCCCAGAGCTCTGGAATTACAGGCATGAGCCACTGTGCCTGGGCCCATCAAAATTCTATTCGTGTCTTTTCCTCAACTAATAACTAATGAAGGTAATATAATTATCTTGATTAGAATGGGATAACAAAGATTCATCCCTGATGTTAAGGAGAGGCATAGATTCTACTCAAGAAGAGGCTGATAATGGAACATATTCTGGTTCTCACTAAGGGAGAAAGGATGTGTGTATTGAAGGGAGGAGGGCTGTAGTTTCTGGGTAGCTGGCCAAATATGTCTGCTACAGTCTTTTAACTTCCTGGTATCTACAGATGTGACAGTTGAACAGAGTTCACAAATTATATCTGCAATTACTAAAAACAGGAGAATTCCCTAACAGTTGCTAAAAGTTTTGAGTTTTGCCTCTGAATAGTAGAATGTTTCTAATGTTGCTGCTACCATTTTTGTTTCTCTTATCTGTGTTACAAGAGGTTGTTTAACACAGAAATTAGGTTTCTCATAATTGTTGCTTTAAAGTTTAATACAGGATCTTCCATGCTACATTCTGAAACTGTTATTGCATGTGACTTCCCTCTGTGATGGTAGTGGAGGATGAGTTTCTTTCTCTAAATTAGTGACTCTCTAATTTTGAAACGCATAAAAATCATCACAATTACTTGTTAAAATTGAATTTCCTGGCCCTTACTTTCGAAACTCTGATTGATACATGGGCCTAGGAATCTGCATTTTTAACAAGCACACCTGGTGGTACCAGAAGACATGTTATTTGAACCCCTTTTTAGAAACACAACCAGGATGCTTGGAATGAGGGTATGAATCTTTCAGGCTGAATGCTTCATGGAATATTGATTCCTTTTACCCAAGGGCCTTTGCTTCTGAAGTTATTTATTTTCCACTACAAATATTCCCTTTCAACACAACATTCCCTGGGCCATTCCTCTTTAGTAGGCTCCTTTTGTATGAAATATGCATTGCATATAGGGTTTTATAAAACAATTTACATCTTCATTATAATTGCAATTATTTCCCAGGACATTATAATATGTATTTGGGGCCTTCCTCCCATTCCTTTATTATGTATTTAGTTTCTTGATCTTTAAAGAATATTGTGGGGAAAAGGTTTCTAGTTATAGTCTAACAAAAAGAGCTGAGAGGTATTCTTAAGCCAAATATTGTGGGGAAATGGTTAAAAAAAACTTCTCAGCTCTTTTTGTTTGACTATAAGTAGAATCTAATGTAATTGTCATTCATGTAAACAGTGTGCGTGACTGTTAATGACTTGATCTTTTACAGGCATCAAATAACCTTGTCCACCTTCCTCACCTTTGAGCTTCAATCACCTTTGAGCTTTAATCTCGTCACTATTGAAAAGTCAAATTTCCTGTGATCAATTTAGTGAATGCTCATTCCAAGAACAAGTTCTGTGATGCTCATTCTTACTGCTCCTTACCCTCTCCCTGGCACACCCATATTTCTTATTTTACTTATTTGTACATCATTTTTTGGCATGTATTATGTTGTAGTTCCCTAAAAGTAATATGCTGTGTGTATGCACAATGCATTGGAAAACATTTAAGTGAAATAAGACATGAATATGACTATCTGTCTCACCTAACATGCAACCCTAATAAATAGCCTAATAGATTCCCAACAGCATGTCATATATTGAAAATTAAGAATCTATATGTGGAACAAAGAATTGCTTATTGATCAATCAAATTACACCTTACATATATAATGTAGCTAATACTATAATGTACTATCCTGTAAAGGATGATTAGGTAGATGGATAGGGGTCTGTGTGTGTGTGTATCTGTGTGCTTTTGTTTGTGCTGGTTTAGTCTCTGCCTCTATTTAACCTACAGATATGTTTTTATTATTCTCAAGATAAATTGTATAATTTTCTAACATTTAAAAAGTGTATATGTTTCTATAAAATTTTGATTTCTGGTCCCTCTTTGGAAATTGAAATAGCTGGCAACATTGTACCCACCTTCTCAAACTGTTAGACTTGACTAGAGCTATCTGCTTGCAGCTCCCTTCAAACTGGAAAGAAGTAGAAAAGTTCTCCACAGTCCTCAGCACTCCCTATGTTGTCTCTATACTAAAGTATAATATCGATCACCATTTGTCATTACACTTGAGCTCTTCTCTGTATCAGACTCAAGCTGTTCTACTCTTTTCTGCAACTCTCTGGCCCTGCACAATCAAACCCCTCGACTGTGGGAAGGCAGATGCAGTGAGGTGTGTGTGGATTAATGAGTGTATACTAGTTAAAAGTATAAACATTGGGGATAAACAGAATGGACTTAGTTCCAGTTCTACCACTGGCTGTGATGGTTAATTTTATGTGTCAGCTTGACTGGGCTAAGGGATGCCTAGATAGCAGGAAAGACATTATTTTGGATATATCACTGAAGGAGTTTCTAGAAGAGATTAGCATTTGAATCAGTAGACTGAGTAAAAAAGATCCATCTTCACCAATGTGGGAAGACATCATCCAATCTCTTGAGCACCTGAATAGAACAAAAAGGCAGAGGAAGGGCAAATACTCTTTCTCTTCTTGAGCTGGGAGATCCAAATTCTCTTGCCCTCAGGCATCAGAGCTCCTTTATTTTGGCCCTTCAGACTCTAGGACTTATATATCATCAGTCCCTCATTAGCCCACACCTGTTTCTCAAGCCTTCAGATGTGAACTGAATTATGCCGCTTGTTTTCCTGATTCTTTAGCTTACAGATGGCATATTGTGGGATTTCACAGCCTCCATAATCATATGAGCCAATTCCCTCAATAAATTTCCTCATACATATATATGATATGCATATATGGCAATGTACTCCATTCCTAAAGAACTGAGGGTCCTGGGGATTTAACTATGTCAATGCTGTCGTTTTACATTATTAACTGAAGACAATGGCTGCCCTTAAATGTTTCTTAAGATTAGGAAATAAAACTAAGTCAGAAGAAGCTAAATCATGATGGTAAGGTGGATACCTAACGATGTCCCATCAAAACTCCCCAAACATTTTCCTTATGTAATTAGAGGAATAAGTAGGACTATCATCATGGTAGAGAAGGACTCTGTGGTGAAGGTTTTTAGAGCATTTTTCTGCTAAATCTTTGGCAAACTTTCTCAAAACCCTCTCATAGTAAGCAAATGTTATGGTTCTTTGGCCCTCTAGAAAGTCAACAAGTAAAATGCCTTGAGTATCCCAAGAAAACTGTTGCCATGACCATTGCTCTTGATTGGCCCACTTTTGCTTTGTCTTGGACCACTTTCACCTCAGGGTAGCAATTGCTTTGATCATGCATTTTCTTAATGATTGTGCTAGTAAAGCCATGTTTTATCTCTTGTTACAATTCTTTGAAAAAATGCTTCCAGATCTTGATCCTACTTGTCTAAAATTTCTTTTTTTTTTTCCCCAAGATGGAGTCTCACTATGGCACCAAGCTGGAGTGCAGTAGCGCCATCTCAGCTCGCTGCAACCTCCACCTCCCGGTTTCAAGTGATTCTCCTACTCTCAGCCTCTCAAGTATAAAATTTCTTTTTAAATCCCTGCTTGTGTCTAGAGCTGATTTAGGCAAAATACTTTTGATACCAATTGAGTGGGAAGTTTACTTAACTTTAATTTTTCAGTCAACACTGTGTAAGTTGAACCAATTGAGATGTCTATGTCATTCACTTATCGTTTCTGCTATATTAATCATTGGTTCTCCTCAATGAGGGCATGAACAAGATTAATTTTGTTTTTGCAAATTGATGTGAATCATCTGCTGCTGCAAGCTACATCTTCAACATCATATTTTCCCTTCTTAAAATGGGTTATCAATTTTTAAACTGCTGATTTCTTTGGGGCATTGTCCCCATAAACTTAATCTAAAGCGTCAATGATTTCACCATTTTTTTCACCCAAGCTTCACAATAAATTTGATGTTTGTTCTAGCTTTAATTTTAGCAGAATTAATGCTGCCCTTTTAGGAGCTCTTTTCTAACTGATGTCTTATCCTTTTTAGTGCCTCAAACTAGATCATGTCAGACATGTAATAACAAGTTAACACAAGTTTATTTTGGTGCAAAAATTTTTGATCTTCACGCATAGATATTTCATAATATGTATTTTCCATGAACTTCTTGAACACCATCATGTGTATTTTTTATTATATGATCCATCATCTCTTTAAGACTATAATATCTACAACTTGAGGGTGTAATAACAGCTAACTGTATTAGTCAGGCATATCCAAATAAATGGAGCCAACAGGGCATATGTATAGATAGATGGATGGATGGATGGATAGATGGGCAGATGGGCAGAGGGGCATGCTTGTACTGGGTGGGGGTGGCAAGATACTTATTATAAGAAATTGGCTCATTTGATTATGGAGGCTGAGAAGCCCAAGACCTACAGCTGAGGAGCTGAAGAACCAGCAAAGCCAATGGTATAAATTTTAGTCCTAGAGCTGGCAGGCTTAAGACACAAGAGGAGCTTACTTCAGTCCAAGTCCTAAAGCTGGGAATAAAAACTGAACAGTGTCTCAGCACTTGCCGTCAGGTAGGAGAAGTTCCCTCTTAGCCTTTAGGCTATTTAGTTCTTCAACTGATTGCATGAGACCCACCCATGTCAGGAAGGCCAATTTGCTTTAGTCGGCCTACTGATTCAAATGTTAATCTCATCTGGAAGCACTCTCACAGACACATCTAGAACAATCTTTGGCCGTATGTCTGAGCACCCCTTGGCTCAATCACGTTGACATAAAAACTAACGATAATTTAATGTATTTGAAATGAGGTAATTTAATGTATTTGAAATGAGGTAATGGATGAAAAGTACTTGGCACAATGCCTATCTCATAGCACCATTCAAGTAATTATTAGTTGTGATTACTAATATCATAATGAGTTTTTTCTGATATTTCAACTTTTGCCTTTTTGGAAATAGTTTTAGTCTGATTTTCTTATACATTATTTGAAATCTTGTCAAAGAAGAGAGGCTCTTAGGTAACTGACTAGAGAGAGAAAGGAAAAGGAAGTGCTGGGCACCTTCCTGTTTTATTCCAGGTATCTTTTCTATTTGATTTACTCAAAATCACACTGAAACGAGAAGCATCCCTCATCCCCATTTTACAAATAAATACCTTCAATGCATGTGACTGAGCAAATTCAAACATGAAACTGGTGAATAAAATGTCTTCCAAACACAGGCCTCATTCCAGAACCTATACTTGTTCCCTGTAGAAAAGCATTTTTTGAAGCTTTGTTTGCCATGTGTGATCTGGGGATCTGAGTGTGTATATGATGTCTCACAATCACCAAAGACTTATCAAAATTGAGATTCTCAGTTTATATTTCTGCAGAGTTTTTTAGCAGCAAATATGCCACATGTACATTTTGTTGAGAGTCAAGTTATTTAGGTGAATTTTCTCTGAGATAACTCTAAGTTTATTTAAAAGGCCAGGAGGATAACTGAATTTCTAGAATTCAGCATTCTCCCAAGATTTCAATGCATGTATAAAGCTATTACTGTGGAAACTGTTGAAGCATGGGATGGGAGCAGAGAAGAGATTCTCAGGGATACCCATGACTTTATATCAAATGTTCCTCATAAGCAATGCTCTACATTTTTAATGAAAGCCACATAGAAAGGCTTCATTTTTTTCACAAGAGTAGTTTATACATTCATCAGTAGTATTTCACTCAACAATGCAGAAAAATGGCAAAGACAAAAATAATGTTTATTGTCACTACTGGGGTAAACATAAAATGTTTAAATATGATGTATAAATGGTTTTAAGAATCTAAGCCAGTGTAAAATTTCAGTTATATTTGGTTAGCATTGAGTAAAATGTATTATTTTTCAACCCTAATTTTAGGAAAAATACAGGATATTATGTAGTGGAATGAAAAGATGGATACATATACATATAAACACACACACACATATATAAACACATATATACATATATACACACATATATATACATATATATGCCATACATATAGACTTTAATAGTACTAAAATTAGAATAATTAAACTTAAAAACGAATTTCAAATTGGCAAACTATTGAAGAAATAATATACTGTCAGATCATAGGAAGAGACCTAAAGTGGAATCACCTATTCCTAAATAGCCTAGGATATAGTTTGTAACTTCTCTAGGCCTAATTTTCTTTCCTTGTAAAATGAAAATATGATGTATTTTATAGTGTATTTGTATACATTAAATGAAGATTAAAATAATAATTAAAGATAATTTTTGAGCAAAGACTTCTGGCTATGGGTCATTTTACATAATCCTGTGTAGCTAAGAGAGGTTGAATAACTTGTGTAAGATCACACAGCCAAGCATGAAACAGGAAACAAATTTGGGAAGTCCAATTTGAGAGCATGTACTTTTCACCATTGACTTGTACTTTTTGCTGTGTCTAACCAATACATTAAAAATCATTCAATGCATAAATGTTCTTAAATTGTTATGAAAATCCTTGTAAATATACTTATAATAAAAATAACCCCTTTTCAAAGCAACAGAAAAAGGTATTGTAGATTTCCTTTAATTCATTTGTCTCTATTAATATGAAGAAGTGAGACCAATTTTCCTTGATTTTTTCTTAGTCAATCAATTGTTCCCTTTTCTTAATTCACTCAAAACATTTGTTTCATGTATTGCTGCATGTTGGACTCAATTCTCCTACCATATCATTTTCTACATTAAAAGTTATAAAACATTTTTTATCTCTGGAATTGATATAAAAGCTTCATGATTTATTAATGATTACCCTACAGTGACGTTTGATAGTTCTTTTGTGTCCTGAAATGTAATTAATGAAGACCTAAATCTCCATACTTATTTAAAGAGAGGGTGAGTGCTCTAATAACTTGGGTATCTATTCCCACTTAATTTTGTTCATTCTAGGTTCTTGAATTTTATGATTGCTCTACTTGGATGACAATAGGTAATAAATTGAATAAGTATTGAAGATACCTCATTATCTCTGACATTACATATAATTTAACTGTCTTTCTCGGAAATTTGATCTAGTACTTACTTGTGCATTTTCTTCCCTGACATATAATTTACTCTTCCTTTTTTGGGTTTCTCTGAGTTGCCCAATCACTTTGTGTGCTTTAAATTTTTCAGTCCCTATTTTTATAATGTATGTACTCTATTCTTATTTGCATTTATCTTAGGTCATTTTCCCCTCATCCTTTTGGATGGCCTTTATAATTTTAGCTAAGAAAAATTCTAAGAATACCTACATTGTTTTCTATAGATGTCTCTTACTTTTTTCCCTCTATGGATCTTTCATAAATACATCATTTAAAATTAACTCAGCATTTTGCATGCTTTGGAGTCTTAAGAAAGTTATATATAAAACATATGAAAGGAGGTGGGAAAACACAGCAATTTTGACGCATTGAACTCAGTGCTGTCATGTTAGAGCAAAAAGGAAAACTGGACCAAATTCAGCTGATGCCCACACACAGAGGTAGCATTTAAACCAGTCCTAGCCGGAGAGGAATTGTTGATACCAGCAGTGGGAACTTGAGTTCCTGCAAACCTCACAACTGAGGGCTACAGTGCTCTGTGTTTACTAAAAATGCTAAAGGGAGTACTTCAATCAGAAAGAAAAGGACATTAATGAACAATAAGCAATCACCTGAAGGTACAAAACTCACTGGTAATTGTAAGTACACAGGAAAACACAGAATATTATAACACTAAAATTGTGGTGTTTAAACCTGAAAGGCAGTTTAGGCCATAAGGACTGCAGCTCTTACACGAGTCATAGGGCTTATAAATAAAAAATGAACATGAATAGGTGTAACATGAGTATGAGTATGAATAGGCATAAATAGTGAGTAAGAATAGGCATAAACAGTGAGACTACAATAAATAATAACTCTTTAGACACCAAGGAATACTTACTAGCATCAACACCATCCAGGAAAACATGACCTCACCAAATGAACAAATCACCAGGGAACAATCCTGGAGACACATAGGTAAGTGGCCTTTCAGACGGAGAATTCACAATAGCTGTGTTAAGAAAACTCAAAGAAATTCAAGGTAACACAGAAAAGGAATTCAGAATTCCATCAGATAAGTTTAACAAAATGATTGAAATAATTATTAAATTAAGCAGAAACGCTCTAGTTCAAAAACGCATATTGAAGCATGCATCAGATTGCTTTCAAAATTGATCAAGCAGAAGGAAGAATTAGTGAGCTTGAAGACAGGCTATTTGAAAATACACAGTCAAAGGAGACAAAGAAGAATAACAGACAACGAAGCATGGCTATTGAATCTAGAAAATAGACTCAAAAGAGCAAATCTGAGTTATTGGCCTTAAAGAGGAAATAAAGAAAGAGATAGGGGTAGACAGTTTATAAAAAGGTATAATAATAGAGAATATCCCAAACCTAGTGAAATATGTCAGTATCCAAGCACAAGAAAGTTATAGAACAAACAGCAAGCACATTTACCCAAAGGAAAGACTACCTCAAGGCATTTATTAATCAAATTCCCAGAGGTCAAGGATAAAGAAAGGATCCTAAAAGCAGCAAAAGAAAATAAACAAATAACATACAATGGAGCTCCAATACATCTGGCAATGGATTTGCCAGCAGAAGCCTTGCAGGCCAGGAGACAGTGGCATGACATATTTGAAATGCTGAAGGAAAAAAAACCAAACTTTAGAATTGTATATCTGGAAAAAATTCCTTCAAATATGAAAGATAAATAAAGACTTTTCCTGAAAAAAAAAGCTGAGGAATTTCATCAAAACCAGACCTGTCTTACAAAAAATGCTAAATGGAGTACTTCAATCAGAAAGACAAGGACACTAATGAAAAATAAATAATCACCTGAAGGAAAAAACTCACTGGTAATTTTAAGTACACAGGAAAAAATCAGAATATTATAACACTAAAACTGTGGTGTTTAAGCTACTCTTATCCTAAGTAGAAAGACTACCTGATGAACCAAACAAAAATAGTAACTACAACAACTTTTCAAGACATAGTGAGTACAAAAAGATATCAATAGAGAAAATAAAAAGCAGGGGAATGAAGTTTTTATTTATTTTTGCTTATTTCTTCATGCAAATTGTGTTACGTTGTTATTAGGTTAAAATAATGAGTTATAACATAGTATTTGCAAGCCTTATGGTATCCTAAAACCAAAAACCAAAAACATACAAGAGAAACACACACACACCCACACACACAAATCTAAGTCATATCAGAGAAAATTACCCTCCCTAGAGAAAAACAGTAAGGAAAGAAAGAAGGAAGAGAAGACCACAAAACAATCAGAAAACAAATAATAAAATGGCAGGAGTATGTCTTTGCTTATGAATAATAACATTGAATATAAATGGACTAAACTTTCCAACCAAAAGACAGACTAGCTGAATGAATGAAAAAACAAGATCCATTGATCTGTTTCCTTCAAGGAACATACTTCACCTATAAAGACACACACAGACTGAAATTAAAGGGATGGAAAAATATTATCCCATGCCAATGGAAAGCACAAAAGAGCAGGAGTTGCTACACTTACATCAGACAAAATAGGTTTTAACACCAAAACTGTAAGAAGAGACAAATGACGTCACTATATAATGATAGAGTAGTCAATTCAGCAAGAGGATATGAGAATTTTAAATATATATGTACTCAACACTAGAGCACCAAGATACATAAAGGAAACATTATTAGAACTGAAGAGAGAGATAGGCCCCAAATAATAATGGCTGGAGGCTTCAACACCCCACTTTCAGCATTGAACAGATCTTCCAGACAGAAAATAACAAAGAAACATCAGAATTAATCTGCACTATAGGCCAAGTGGATCTAATAGATATTTACAGAACAGTTCATCCAAGAAGAATACACATTCTTCTCATCCCATGGATCAGCACATGGATCATTCTCAAGGGTAGACCATATGTTAGGTCACAAAACAAGTCTTAAAACATTCAAAAACTTGAAATGATATGAATCATCTTCCCTGATCACAATGAAATAAAACTATAAATAAATAACAATAGAACGTGTGGAAACTATTCAAACCTATGGAAATTAAGCAATATGCTCCCGAATGACAAGTGGGTCAATGAAGAAAGAAATTGAAAAATGTCTTGAAACAAATAATAATGGAAGCACAACATACCAAAACCTATGTGACACAGTAAAGGTAATACTAACTTGGAGGTTTACAGCTACAATTTCTTACGTCAAAAAAGAAGGAAGACTTCAAATGAACAATTTAAAGATGTATCTTAAATAACTAGAAAAGCAAGAGCAAACCAAACCCAAAATTGGTAGAAGAAAAGAAATAAGATCAGAGCAGAAATAAATTTGAACAAAAAATATAAAAGACCAATGAAACAAAAAGTTGTTTTTTTTAAAGTTAAACAAAATTGACATCTCTTTAGCCAGACTTATTAAGAAAAACAAAGGTTCAAATAAAATCAGAAATGAAAAAGCTGACATTAGAACTGATACTGCAGAAATTCAAACCATCATTAGTGCCTACTATGAGCAACTATATGCTAATAAATTGGAAAATCTAGAAGAAATGGTCAAATTCCTAGATACAACCTACCAATATTGAACCAGGAAGAAATAAAAAACTGGAACAGGTTAATAACAGCTAATGAAACTGAAGCTGTAATAAAAAGTCTCCCAGCAAAGAAAAGCCTGGGACCTGATGACTTTACTGCTGAATTCTATCTAACAGTTAAAGAAGAGTTAATACCAATTCTACTTAAAATATTCCAAAAAAATAGAGAAGGGGGAATACTTCCAAACATTCTATGAGGCCAGCATTACCCTGATACCAAAATCAGACAGACACATTTTTAAAAAAACATAAAAAAAACTACAGGCCAATATCTCTGATGAATATTGTTGCAAAATCAACAAAATACTAGCAAACAAAATTCAACAATGTGTTATTGATATAAAGATCATTCATCATGACCAAGTGGGATTTATCCCTGGAATGAAAGGATGGTTCAATGAATAAAAATCAATCAATGTGATACATCATATATACAGAATGAAGGATAAAAACCATATGATCATTTCACTTGATGCTGAAAAAGGTTTTCATAAAATTCAACATCCCATCATGATAAAAAAAAAAACCCTTAAAAATCTGGGGACAGAAGAAATATACCTCAACATGATAAAAGCCATATATGACAGATAGGCCCACAGGTAATATCATAGTGAATGGGGAAAAACCAAAAGCCTTTTCTCTAAGATCTGGAAAACAGCAAGGATACCCACTATCACCACTGTTTTTTTTTTCCTCTACTTTCTTTTTTCTTTTTTTATTATACTTTAAGTTTTAGCGTACATGTGCACAACGTGCAGGATTGTTACATATGTATACATATGCCATGTTGGTGTGCTGCACCCATTAACTCGTCATTTACATTAGGTATATCTCCTAATGCTATCCCTCCCCCCTCCCCCCACCCTCTAGCAGGCCCCGGTGTGTGATGTTCCCCTTCCTGTGTCCATGTGTTCTCATTGTTCAATTCCCACCCATGAGTGAGAACATGCGGTGTTTGGTTTTTTGTCCTTGCAATAGTTTCCTGAGAATCATGGTTTCCAGCTTCATCCATGTCCCTACAAAGGACATGAACTCATCATTTTTTATAGCTGCATAGTATTCCATGGTGTATATGTACCACATTTTCTTAATCCAGTCTATCACTGATGGACATTTGGGTTGGTTCCAAGTATTTGCTATTGTGAATAGTGCCTCAATAAACATACGTGTGCATGTGTCTTTATAGCAGCATGATATATAATCCTTTGGGTATATACCCAGTAATGGGATTGCTGGGTCAAATGGTATTTCTAGTTCTAGATCCCTGAGGAATCGCTACACTGACTTCCACAATGGTTGAACTAGTTTACAGTCCCACCAACAGTGTAAAAGTGTTCCCGTTTCTCCACATCCTCTCCAGCACCTGTTGTTTCCTGACTTTTTAATGATTGCCATTCTAACTGGTGTGAGATGGTATCTCATTGTGGTTTTGATTTGCATTTCTCTGATGGCCAGTGATGATGAGCATTTTTTCATGTGTCTTTTGGCTGCATAAATGTCTTCTTTTGAGAAGTGTCTGTTCATATCCTTTGCCCACTTGTTGATGGGGTTGTTTGTTTTTTTCTTGTAAATTTGTTTGAGTTCTTTGTGGATTCTGGATATTAGCCCTTTGTCAGATGAGTAGATTGCAAAAATTTTCTCCCATTCTGTAGGTTGCCTGTTCACTCTGATGGTAGTTTCTTTTGCTGTGCAGAAGCTCTTTAGTTTAATTAGATCCCATTTGTCAATTTAGGCTTTTGTTGCCATTGCTTTTGGTGTTTTAGACATGAAGTCCTTGCCCATGCCTATGTCCTGAATGGTATTGCTTAGGTTTTCTTCTAGGGTTTTTATGGTTTTAGGTCTAACATTTAAGTCTTTAATCCATCTTGAATTAATTTTTGTATAAGGTGTAAGGAAGGGATCCAGTTTCAGCTTTCCATATGGCTAGCCAGTTTTCCCAGCACCATTTATTAAATAGGGAATCCTTTCCCTGTTTCTTGTTTTTGTCAGGTTTGTCAGAGATCAGATAGTTGTAGATATGCGGCATTATTTCTGAGGGCTCTGTTCTGTTCCATTGGTCTGTATCTCTGTTTTGGTACCAGTACCATGCTGTTTTGGTTACTATAGCCTTGTAATATAGATTGAAGTCAGGTAGCATGATACCTCCAGCTTTGTTCTTTTGGCTTAGGATTGAGTTGGCAATGCGGGCTGTTTTTTGGTTCCATATGAACTTTATTCAACATAATATTGGAAGTCCTAGCTAGAGCAATTGGACAAGAGAAAGACATAAATTGCATCCAAATTGGAAAGGAAGAAGTCACATTATCCTTGTTTGTAGATGATATGATCTTATATTTAGAAAAATCTAAAGACTCTACAGGAAAATTTTGAGAACTGGTATACCAATTCAGTAAAGATGCAGGATACCAAATTAACATACAAAATTCAATAGCATTTCTATATGCCAACAGTGAACAATGTGAAAATGAATTTTAAAAATTAATCCCAATTATAGTAGCCACACATATAATTAAATACTAGGTGAAAGATCTCTATAAGGAAACTATAAAACACTGAAGAAAGAAATTGGAGAGGACACCCAAAAATGGAAAAATATTTTGTGTTTATGGATTGGAAGAATCAATATTGTTAAAATGTCCATACTACCCAAGGCAATCTACAGATTAAATGCAATCCCTTTCAAAATACCAATTATATTCTTCATAGAAAATAGAAAAAACAATCCTGAAATTTATATGGAATGACAAAAGACCCAGAATAGCCAAAGCTGTCTTAAGCAAAAATAAGAAAACCGGAGGAGTCACGTTACCTGACTTCAAATGATACTCCAGAGATATGGGAAAGAAGCATGGTTCTAGCATAAAAACAGACACATAGACCAATGAAGTGGAATAGAGAACCCAGAAACAAATCCATGCACCTACTGTTAATGCAGTTTTGACAAAGGTGTGAAGAACATACACTGGAGGGAAAGACAGTCTCTTCAATGTACAGTGATGGGAAAACTGGATATTCATGTTGCAGAACAATGAAATAAGACCCCTATTTCTCATCTTATAAAAAATCCAAATTAAAATGGATTAAAAACTTAAATCTAAGACCTCAAACTGTGAAATTCATACAAGAAAATATTGGGGGAAGATCTCCAGGATATTGGTCTGGGCAAAAATTTTTGAGCAATACCCCACAAGCACAGGCAACAAAAGCAGAAATGGACAAATGGGATCACATCAAGTTAAAAAGCTTCTGCACAGCAAATGATACAATCAACAAAATGAAGCATCAACTCACAGAATGGGAGAAAATATTTGCAAACTACCTATCTGACAAGAGATTAATAAGCAGAATGTGTAATGAGCTCAAACAGTTCTATAGGAAAAAAATATATAATAATCCAATCAAAGAATGAGCAAAAGATTTGAATAGACATTTCTCAAAAGAATATATACAAATGGCAAACAGGTATATAAAAAGGTGCTCAACATCACTGACCATCAGAGAAATGAAAATCAAAACTACAATTAGGTATCATCTCACTCCAATTAAAATGACTTATATCCAAAAGACAGGCAATAGTAAATGTTGGCGAGAAAATGGAGAAAAGAAAAGAAAACTCTTGTACCCTGTTGTTAGGAGTGTAAATTGATACAACACAAGTTGACTATAGTCAATAATAACTTAGTTGTATATTTAAAAAGAAAGAGTGTAATTGGATTATTTGTAACTCGAAGGATAAATGCTTTAACAGATGGATACCCCATTCTCCATAATGTGCTTATGTCAAATTGCGTGCCTGTATCAAAACATCTTATGTGCCCCATAAATATATACACCTGTTATGTACCCACAAAAATTAAAAAATGAGACAATATTAAAAATATATATAGTATACAAAATATATATAATAAATCTTTCAGAGTCCATATTCATGATATTTGCCCATTTATACCTTTCAGCCTATCCTGACTTTCTCTTGAATGTGTTTTCCTAGTCTTTATTATGTATGTCTGCTTCTGGCATTTAATTTTTTCTCCTTAACACAGTTTCCAAGCTTCCTATAGGTTTCATGCTGTCCATTAGCTCTTGTTTCTGTTTTGAATCAGAATTAACTTGAAAGTAGACATTTTTGCTCTTATTTCTCTTATTTTTAACAAAATAGCTAAGACATCATCAAATGCTCCCCTCTTAGCAGAATGAGGTTTCCATCTAATGAAGTCATCATTGAATTCCCACTTAGAGATGTACCTAATATACATTTTATTAAATGTTGAGCGTTGAAATCAATATTTCATAGAAATAAAATTTAAAGTCACGTATCTCTATCTTAGAATATACTTGTTTTGTATGTATCTAAAATAAAGTATATAATTATATTTAAACACTAAACATATTAAACATATTTAACATTAATAACAATATTGAACATTATATTTATATTTAAATGTTTAAACATTTAAACATTTCAGAAGTTAAATTTCTATAAGTTTGACTTTGTATTTCTCAAGACTGTCAACTCTGATATTGCTTCTACAGTCAGTATAACTAACATTTATAATACCAAATAGATACTTTACTTTCAACCCAGACCAGTGGAGGTGGAACATATTTTGAGATTACCCTATTTATCTGTAACATACACCTCTTCATATTCCTTGTATCCTTTATTGTATCTACATCAAAGATGATTTTTCATGACATTTTGCGTGATTTTTGAGATATTTCTCTTTTGGTTTGAGGTGGTGAATTTGGCATTCTGCTTTTAATTTTTCTTTAAGAGATATGAAGAATTCACAAATAAAATGTTTTCTTGAGGAATATGGCTTAAATGCAGTAAAATAACTAGACAATAAATTTTTTTAAAGTGTATTTTAATGTTATGAATTTTAGCACATAAAACAAGTCTACAAAACTAGTTATGTTATTATCTAATTTCTTTTCTTTTCCTTTTATTGGTGACATTTTTATAAATATTTTCTTTCTACCTAAAGTTACCTAGGTACACCAGTACAATCTCTTTACATATATAGAAACTCACAACTGATTTCCCTATTTGTTTAACTATTTAAAATTATTAAGAATTATTTTTGTATATTAAATCAACAGCTTCACAACTATCATGAATTATTTCAACATATTTTACAATAATATTTACATTATTCATATTCATATTTGAGCTGACATGAGGAGACATTACTAAGTTTCATCTACAATGTGTATTGTATTTGAATGTGTATATATGGATGTCAACTCTACATTTGATGTCATGCTTTTTACATATTAGCTACATTTTTGACCTGAATAGAGATGATATTAACCTATTTGATAATATTGTCATTGATTACTCATATTTTGGGAATTCCAGAATGACTTTGTAGTAAGTATTCTATCTCCAAAAGCCCAGGGCAAAAATATAACAAATTTTATGCTGATACTCAGACTAAAGCCAAACTTTGTTACATGTATTATATTTGCTTTTACTTTTGTTCAAATATTATGAAGGTTTAAGGGAATCTGTTATATTTATTTTCTTTTTGCTAAAGTCGGGTTATATTTCCATTTATTGATTTTTGAACATTGTGCTGTTTGCTTCATCTACATGTCAGGTAATTTTATAGCAATACTATGGATGTTTTATTACTTTCGGACTTAATAGGCATTCAAACTGAAGCTCAGAAAGGTTACATAAATTGCCTAAGTTTTCACAGCTTGATTTGAAATCACGTTTATCTGGCTGCATCATATTTTCTGTCTATTTTATTTACAATGACAAATGTTGTTGACATTTTCTTTGTTTTATTGTCACTTAAGCTTTTTCTAAATATTATTTCCTTTCCATAGTTGTTTGGGTTGGTGGATGGGTGTATATTTGGGTGGACAGATAAATCTATCGATAAATTGATAGGCAGATAAATGGGTAGAGATAGATACCTCATATGGCCTGGCTCTGTATCCTCACCCAGATCTCATCTTGAATTGTAATTTGAATTGTAATTCCCCACTTCTTGGGGGAGAGACCTCGTGGAAGGTGATAGTGATCATGGGGGCAGTTCCCTCTTGCTGTTCTCTTGTTAGTGAGTTAGTTCTCACGAGATCTGATGGTTTTATAAGGGGCTTTTCCTCCTTCACTCTGCACTTGTCTCTCTTGCTGCCTGGTGAAGAAGGACGTGTTTGCACCCCCTTCCACCATGATTCCAAGTTTCCTGAGGCCTCCACAGCCACGCAGAACTGTGAGTCAATTAAACATCTTTCCTTTATAAATTACCCAGTCTCGGGTATGTCTTTATAGCAGCATGAAAATGGACTAGTACAATGCCTCATGCACCAAGGTTTACTAATGATTAGAGGGGGATATTAGGGATATTACCAACCCAGCAGCTGGGAAGTCCCAAACCAGCAGATGAAGCTTTCTATGGTGCCAATTCCTGCACTGACACACAGTTTGTTTCAGTGACTGATGAGTAGTAATTCTGTGTGGTCTGTACAGGCCCAGATGATCCATTTCCTTTCAGGATCTCTCTCTCTTTTAGACCTTGCAAGAAAGACTACCTGATTAACATCCATTCTCTAACACAACTGTGGCTCGTAAATCCATAATTTACTGTCTTAGGGATAATCAGACAGGCCAGGTGTATTCTCTTACAAGGATTTTTTTTTTCAGTGAGAAGGGCTGTGGAAGACCCTTATATAATTTCTAGTAAATTCTATCAGCTGACCTTACATGGAGGCCTCCTCAAAATCAAGTGTCTCACTCCCTCAAGCCTTTCTTGGAAAGGAAGAATCTTCCTAAAAACTCACTTCCCACTAGTGTTACTCATACTAACTTTTTTGTTTGATTGATTTATATTGCATCTTAAAACCTTGATTACTTAAGGAGTTTTACAATTCAAAACATTTTTATAAATATTATTAAATTTAATCAGCTAAGGTCATCTAGGTATTAAAATGAAAAATTTCAAATCAAGGTCTTCAGAAACAAGATCCGGCATACTTTTTTGTTGCTACTTAATTTCTTTAAATAAAGGTGCACATTTACATTATATGCCTTTAATCCTATTAGGTTAGTAATAGCTTTATCACTTTTATTTTTTTGGGCTAAAAACTCAGTTCTGTACATAAGCATATGTAAAATAAATGCCCATTATATTTTATATAAATATATATAAAATAAATATGCATAATTTATGTGAATATATAAAACAGTATATTTGCCTCTCTACTCACATTGTCTCTTCATTATTTTTGAAATAACTTGAGGCAACATATTAAATATATAATTGGCGCAAAGGGAAGATAAAGGCAGGGAAATGGGTAAATCTGAAGGTAAGCAGCATAAGAGTCAACACGTTATCTAGCTGTGAGCTACAGATTGGGCTTTGAGCTTCCTAGCAGCCAAAGAAAAGAACTAAATGTGTATACTCCACAGGTTTACAGTATCCAAAAGATTAAAATGAATTTCTCATACAGGCCATAGTTTTTGTAGGTACTGATACTAAGGTGTACTATGTGTTTGGTAATACCACTCAAGAACAGCTCTGTAATAATTTCAGTAGTATATAGCATATGGCTGTTTCTGACTGCAAGTTCATAAATACAGTGACATCAAATCCGTAGGGAGCCCAGAGTGTTTTACGTGTGCAGCACCACCAATGTTATTCTCCAAGGCTAAAGTTCAAAATATTTAGAGTGGCAGACCTCAAAGCACATTCTGTGGAGTATTAATTATGAGGGCTATTTCTTGAGAAAATAGTCTTTATACAGAGACAGCTATTTATTGAGGCTTCCTCAGCACTGGTTCAGTTTTCTCTCAATGATGTGGCTTTTGTGAGTTGATTTTAAACACTAATAGAAACAAATATTAGTACATATACCCTGACATTTCAGAAAGTGCACTGTTGGTATAAACTTTAAAACTATGATATAAGCCCTGAGTCTAAAAAGGAAGCAATGAGTGTAACTTCTCAGATGGAATGCTGGCCCTCCCATAGGTAGTGTTCCTTCACAAGAAACCTTGAATGCAAGGAAGCCAGTCCTCGCTCAATTACTAACCTGCCCTGCGTAGCTACCCACCTTCTGCTGATGTTCGTTATCTAAGGCCAAATAAATTGGAAACTTAGTCTAATCATGTGTATGCACGGGAATGGTTTTGTCCCACACTCTGAAATGGTCCCTACATGCTGCATTTATTGACCTTGTGAGTTATTGAAAAATAGTTCAGAGATCAATAATTTTAAGAAATAGTATGCTTATGACAATTGGGCTCTCAATAGTTGCATTTGGGGTTTTGTTCTTTGCTTCATTAATATAGTAATTTGCTAAGAAGTTCTTGTTACCATTGTTTTGTTGTTATTGTTCACAAATGTGTATTCCTGAAACTTTAATCAGGGTTCTTTACTCAGATGTGGCTTCAATTATAAGATGGAAATATATTTTTAAAATTTGCACATTAATATTTATATATATTTCAGGAAAAAGTAACCATCTGAATTTGCTGAAGTTGCTTTTCTTTTGTTTAAATCTATTAGAGTGCCTTTAAAATAATATTACATTTGTATTTCATATTCTGTTGTGATATATTTTCAAATAATTTAGTAGTATGTCATATTAATGTGTTTTCTCAAATGTTATTGTAGCATTGTGATTCTTAGTTCAGATTATTTCTGGTGGTTACCATTTTAATGAAATTTTTTTTGTCTTCCCTAAGTATTAAAATTTAAAATCTGGTTTGTGTTGTTAAATTTGATTTGGTCAATGTCACAATTCTTTGATGTTTATCTGAGCATCCATAGGTTTATGTGGCCCTAATCTCTCATCTAGTATAGAATTATGCTCATATATCTTTAAAACTCCTCTGACAGTTTGACAGTAAGTACTGAGACTTGAATTGATTTTCTCAAGTATGTTCAACCATTGTGGAACGAGGTCCCCCACTCCAGGTCTCTTGGTGTCTGCTCTAGTTGACCTACAGTTATACTATGTAACCTTGCTAAGATTAAAGATTTAGTATTTGCTAGGTTAAAATTTATGAAATAAAACCTGGATTTGAGTAACTCAGATGATGTAGCAACTTTATTGGCATCTTATATAAAAGGTTTAGTTTTCAGTTTTCTTTTTATCCCTGAAATCATTTTAACAACTACGACAACAGAATTTAGTGAACACTAGCCCGAGCATTTTGAGAGTTGTGTTTGCTTTTCATTCTTTCCTTTGAAATTATGATGGTAATATTGCACAATTTACCCTCAGATAAATGTGCCTCCTTTGCAAGGGGAATGGGATTCTTGTATGGTTCTTAATAAGAAAAGGTATTTTAGCTTTAGGCAGAGGAAAATATGTTGATACTGGATTATAGTTCTGCTTATTATGTTTTGATTGAGATTTTCAGTTTAAATGCTTTTTTTCCAGTTTGATAATTTTTTAATGATTGGTCAGCTAAAAATGAAGCAAGAAAAATAGAATTTGAAAAGTTACATCTCCTTTTTCACTCTGGGTGAAGAAATGCATAAAAGAGTTCCTCTGGTGGATTTTTAAAACGACTACGCAAGTAATTTAAAAATGTACTGTCTCAGGATATGATTATTTTGTATATATACGTTTTAATATACAAATTTATTGATTTATCCATGTGACCTTTAAATGACCTATTAATACATCAATATATATTATGTATGTACCACACAATATATATACCCTCAGGATCACTTTTAAACATACAAAGTATCATAGTGTGAGTCATTAATTAATTAATCATAATTAGATTATTTGCTACCAGCCTGGGATCATTCTAAATGTTCCTATATATTAGTTTATTAATACTCACTACAGTCTGTGTCCTTTTCTCAGACAAAGAAACTGAGTCACAGACTGGCAATTGACTTTCCTGAGGGTGTATACCATTTATAAATTGTAGACCAGGACTTTCCACTTGGCAGTCTCTGTCCAGAGCCTTCACATTTAATGATTACCATATACTGTTCTCATTTGTCTTTATAATAGATATATTACACAGATAAAACTATGGCCATCATATGACTTCTTAGGAAATGTTCCTAGTTAACATTTTAGTTAATAAATACATTCTTCCAGTTTTCTTTTTCTCTTACGAGAATATCTCACAATATTGCCATGTGGCTGGCACAGAGCTCATGGCAATAAATATATAGTATAAACTGGTTTAAATGACTGAAGAATTTTCAAAACAGGCATTCTGGGCCTTACAAGTAGGCTTCTTATAAACAGTATTCTCCATGGATTATTTGAGCAAGGCTGGAGCCTTGGTAGAATTACCTATCCTACCTAGGTGATAAATCATGGTGGGGGTGAATGGTGTAGAGGATTGGGAGAAGCAGGGATCAAGATTAACTGTACCAAATTAATAGGCCAGTTAGTCATAACTTAGGGTCCTAATGCTCTTGTTTTGTTTGGACCAAGAGACTTGGTAAAATTGTTAATAAATACTTTAAGAAACCAGACTAAATAAACAATGAGTAGATAAAGAAAATGTGGTATATATACACCATGGAATACTACTCAACCATAAAAAGGAATGAAATGATGGCATTTGTAACAACTTGGATGGAGTTAGAGGCCATTATTCTAAGTGAAGTACTCAGGAATGAAAAACCAAACATCGTATGTTCCCACTTGTAAGTGGGAGTTAAGCTATGAGGATGCAAAGGCATAAGAATGATATAATGGACTTCTGGGACTTGGGAGGAAGAGTGGGGATGGGTGAGGGACAAAAGAGTACACGTTGGGTGCAGTGTACACTGCTCTGGTGATGGGTGCACCACAAGCTCAGAAATCACCACTAAATAATTTATCCATGTAACCAAATACCACCTCTTCCCGCAAACTACTGAAATAATAATAAAATAAATAAAATTGCCTAAGAAGCTTCGTGAGGTACCTTTATGAGTTATAGATCTGGCCAGAGAGATGTGCCTTCAAGATGAACATGGATAAGTGAGATTGCAAGAGGAAAAACCAGAAAGAGGAGATAACAAGTAAAGTATTCTAAAAAATATTCAGACCTCAAAATGAACTTAGGTAACGTGAAAAGTTTATGTCCCAGAAAGAAACTTTCATCAATGACCAAGAGAAACCCTAAGTAAAACATATACAAAATTGTGTTTTATCTTTATAGCTGAGGCATCTTTACTGGGAAGCTAATGAAGTTTAAGCTTCCTGGTCCTACAATTGCAGAGCCCCTTCTAAAGCCCTACAGGAGTCCTAGAAATCTGTTTTTGTAAAATTTTCAAAACCAAGATTTTTAAACCATCATTAGTTAAGACATTGTCTCTTTTCATTTTGACTTCTCTATCATACTTTCCTTTGTGTCGGGGGCATTGCAGTGACTGCAGGCATTTTCAATGTTTAGTAAAGAGAAAGTTGAGTTGGGAATACATTGATTTGGAGATTATGGGGGATAGTGATGTGTTTTGCCATCCTTCCAAGTGTGGTTACAATGGTGCTTACCTTCCCAGAGGAATGCCTGGGAATACTCCTTATTCTCCACTTTGCCCACTCATCAAGCTACTGACACAAGGGCATGGTATGCCAAAGTTTGAAAAGTATCAAGCCAGAAGCCAGTCTCAAAAAAATTCATGCCATCATCAGATGTATAAAATTGAAATCAGAAGGTTTAGTGCTCATTAGGGCATAGTTAAAATAGATGCTCCCTCCTGTCAGAAATGGTACAGTGTGTACAATTTGAAACACACTATGCATTTATCTAAGCTTAAACATGCCATTTTGACTATAATTTTGAAAGATGCCTTATAAGGCTTTACTAAAATAAAGCGAAGATTATAGACTTTTGATTGGGACACACATAGAGTGAAAGTTCATATCAAAAAATAATAGAATATGTGACAAAACATAAAAATGAGAGTTGAAATCAGTAGATATTACTCTGACATCAAGAAAAGAATTGTATCAAAAATAATCATGCCAAAAGTAATAACTGATTAAAGGAGGAGATAAATGTGGACTAGTAATAATAAATATACTCCTCAATTGTGATCACTAAGTTAATAAAGAGGAGGAACTCAAACATGTTGAGGAAAGATTCAATTTCTTCCTGATTTGATCGGAAGTTCTGACATCAATTAAAAAAGTAGAAACCAGGCTATTGTTTCCTAGTGCACTCCTAAAATCTTCATATGATGCTGGACCAAAAATTTTTTAAAAAAGCAGTTCTAAGTGGCCCTAGATGACAGACAAATCTGCATTTTGGGACAAGTCTTTGGGCTATACATTTATGAATCAACAATGCGTAATTTTCAAGAGGATTTTATTACTACAAGAGTAGTCCATTATGATAAGATAGTTAATCCTGTAACAACTAAGATTGAAATACAGTGTCATAGGTGTATGACGTGTTTTTTTTGTTCTGTTTTGTTTTGTTTTTTGAGATGGAGTCTCGCTCTGTCACCAGGCTGGAGTGCAGTAGCGTGATCTCGGCTCACTGCAACCTCCGCCTCCCAGGTTCAAGTGGTTCTCCTGCCTCAGCCTCCCAAGTAGCTGGGATTACAGGCGCCTGCTACCACGCCTGGCTAATTTTTGTATTTTTAGTAGAGACGGGGTTTCACAATGTTGGCCAGGATGGTCTCGATCTCTTGACCTTGTAATCCACCCACCTCAGCCTCCCAAAGTGCTGGGATTACAGGTATGAGCCACCACGCCTGGCCTGATGTATGACTTGCTTTAAGAACACAACGTTTGAAGAGGAAAAACTGATAAGAAAAGAACTGTGTTATGATGCTATACTTGTTTACAAATATGTGCATACTAATTTTATACAGTTTTCAGGGATTTTTTTTCCTCCCTGAGCAACAAATTGATGTATATATTTGAAGGAGCTAATACAACTTTTTGCAACCAATATGAAAGTACCAATTTTTAAAAATAATTGCTAAAATTCTTTATATATTTTGTTAAGGAATTAATAATATACCATTCAACTTGAAAAATGATGTATACAGAAGAAAATATGTACTTTGGGAATGTGTAACTGTTGGGATTTTTCTCTTTTCCTCATTGTCCTTTAAGTATGACGCAAATTATTTTTTAGAGGTAAAATATGGCATGCTTTGGAGATATTGCAGATTCAGCTTCAAACCACCACAATAAAGCAAATATTACAATAGTGAGTCACACAAAATTTTTTTTTGTTTCCCAGTTCATATAAAATTTATACTTACACTATACTGTAGTCTAAGTGTGTAATAGCATTGTGTGTAACAATGTGCATGCCTTAATTTAAAATATTGCTAAAAAATGCAAACGGTTATCTGACACTTCAGGAAGTCATAGTGTTTTTGCTGGTGGAGGATGTTACTTCGATATGTATGGCTGCTGACTTATCAGGATATTGGTTGCTGAAAGTTAGGGTGACTGTGGCAATTTCTTAAAATAAGACAACAATGAAGTTAGGCACATCAATTGACTCTTCCTTTCAGGAAAGATTTCTCTGTAGCATGTGGAGCTATTTTATAGCATTTTACTCACAATAGAATTGCTTTCAAAATTGGAATCAATCTCAAACACTGCCACTGCTTTATTAACTAAGGTTATTTAATATTCTAAATCCTTTGTTATAATTTCAACAGTGTTTATAGCAACTTCATCAGGAGTAGATTTCATCTCAGGAAACCACTTTCCTTGCTAATCCATGAGAAGTAAATCCTCATCCATCAGGTTTTATCATGAGATTGCAGCAATTCAGTTACATCCTCAGGCTTCATTTCTAATTCTAGTTCTCTTGCTATTTTCACTACATTTGCAGTGACTTCCTCCACTGAAGTCTTGAACCCCTCAAACTAATTTATAAGGGCTGGAATCAACTTCTTCTAAATCTTTCTTAATGTTGATATTATGACCTCCTCCTATGAATCATGAATGTTTTCAGTGGCTTCTAGAATGGTGAATTCTTTCCAGAAGGTTTTACATTTTCTTTGCCAAGATCCATCATAGAAATCACTATTTGTGGCAGCTCTAGCCTCTCAAAAATCATTTCTTAAATGAGACTTGAACGTCACAATGATTTCTTGATCCATGAGCTGTAGAGTGGATGTTGTGTTCGCAGTCATGAAAATATTAATATCCTGTAATATTAATATCAGAGCTCTTGTGTGACTAGTACATTGTCAATGAACAGTAATATTTTGAAAGGAACCTTTTTTTCTGGATTAAAATGTTCAGTAAATCATGTCATAAACACAAGTGCTGTCACCCAGGCTTTGTTGTTCCATTTATAGAGCACAGGGAGAGTAGATGTAACATAATTTCTAAGGATTTTTAGAATGGTAAGTAAGCTTCAGCTTCAACTTAAGTCATCAGCTACAATTCTAACAAGAGTCAACATGTCTTTTTGAAGACTTGAAGCAGGTGTTGACTTTTTTCCTAGCTATGAATGTCTTTAGTTGTGTCTTCCAATAGAAGGCTGTTTGATCTGTGTTGAAAATTTGATGTTTAGTGTAGCCACCATTATCAGTGATCTTAGCTAGATCTTCTGGATAACTTGCTGCAGCTTCTTCATCAACACTTGCTGCTTCACCTTGCACTTTTATGGAGATGGCTACATTCCTTTAAACTTATGAACCAACTTCTGCTAAGTCCCCCTTTTATTCTGCAGCTTCCTCATCAATCAGCCTTCATAGAATTGGAGAGAGTTAGAGCCTTCCTCTGGATTAGGCTTTGGCTTAAGGAAATGTGGCTGATCTGATCTTCTATCCAGACCACTCAAACTTTTTCCATAATAGTAATAAGTCTGTTTTGTATTCTCAACATTTGTGTCTTCACTGGAGTAGCACTTTTAATTTCCTTCATGAAGTTTTCCTTTGCATTCACATCTTGGCTAAATGTTTTGTGTGAGAGGCCTAGCTTTTCACCTAGTTTGGCTTTCAACATTCCTTCTTCACAAAGCATAATCATTTCTAGCTTTCGATTTGAAGAGAAAGATATGTGACTCTTCATTTCATTTGAAAACTTTGAGGCCATTGTAGAGTTATTAATTGGTTTAATTTCAACAGTGTTGTGTCTTATGTAATGGGGAGGCCTGAAGAGAGGGAGAGAGATGGGAATCAGCTGGTCAGAACACACACAGCATTTATCAATTAAGTTTTACTGTCTTATAAAAGTGTGGTTTGTGGTGCCCCAAAACAATTACAATAGTAAAATCAAATATCACTGATCACAGATCACCATACCATATATATTAATAGTGGAAAAGCTTGAAACATTGTGAGAATTTGCAAAATGTGACACAGACATAATGTGAGCACACACTGTTGGAGAAATGGTGTCGATAGACTTGCTTGACACAGGGTTGCCACAAACCTTCTATTTGAAAAAAGCACAGTATCTGCAATGTGCAAAAGAGTGAAACACAGTAAAATGAGGCAGCCTGTACTAAGATTATTTTGGTAATGGTAAATTATTAATTACACATGTAGATTTAATATTGACTATTAGGCAAATTAAATCAATGTTTTATAGCAGTGTATAGACTATCACATAGTCTATGTCTTTGAATGAATTCTTTGTGAATAAAACCTTTTATGCTGTGACATTTTCTTACGTTGATATAATTAAGTTACTAGCTTCACAGTGAAGATAATATCGCTTGTATATACTTAATTTTAATAGCTTACTAAAAATACTCAGTTTTTCAACAGTCCTGTTCCCTTTTGTATATATTAGTTATCTAAAAGTAAAGATATACACTGAAAAGGATAAAATAACATAATCTAATAAACTATTTCAATTTTTAAGTACATATTTGTCTGACTTAACTAGAAACCTAATGGCAAGTTATTAAGTTTTATTGGCTGTAGGGCTTTCAAGTCATGAGTCTTAGGCCTTGCCAGAGATCAGCAAAGTCACAATTATCAAGTGACTTAAGTGTGACAGTGGGTTGTCAGTTCATGAAAGGTCAAGAAGTTGGACAAATTTAGTCAGAGTTAGATAATCTATATATTGGGAACTAAATTTACCACTAATATAAAGCAAAAACTGAGAATGATAGATGCAGGTTGGCAGGGTTTCAACCACCAGCTTCCTCTTAATGACTTTCCTAGCTGTGATAGTTGTGGGATTGAGTATTAGGCTGTATCCTTAATGCTAAGCTGTTCATTTATATATGTAAAGGTAAATATTTTTTCTAGCACCCTTTTTCCTTTAGAGTGCAGGAAGTAAATCAGAGTGAATTTCAGGATTACTTTACCTGATTAAAAAAAATCGTTTGAAGTTGGCTTCTTTTATAAAATTTGAGTATATTCTAAATATGTTTTGGATTGAAATTCAATGCTTTATACAGTTGGTTTAGAATTTTCCCCATTCTGTTAAAAGTCCACTTGACAAAGAAACAGAAGAATTAGTCTACTACTGGTCAGAGTCAAAGTGGCTCCTGAGTCTGGTTGCAGCAGGAATGAATAATAGGAGAAAGCATGCTAGCCATATCCCTGGCATCCCTCTTCTTACCCATATCAATGCAAAACATGGCCCTCCAGAAGAAGGCTCATTTGTAAATTCTCTAAAAACTGCATCTGCTGATGAAAAGTGATGGATGGGGACTGATTGAGCCCAGACTATACCTCTAGAGGATTCCATCTTGAGACATATGTTCGGATTTACTCCATAAACTCACCAGAGGGGGCACAAGCTTAGGGAAAGCTTTAGTGCTTATTATTTAATATAGATTTTCAAACAAGATACCGATACAGGCAAGGTGCAGTGGCTCACACCTGTAATCCTAGCACTTTGGGAGGTCGAGGTAGGTGGATTGCCTGAGCTCGGGAGTTTGAGACCAGCCTGGGCAACACGGTGGAACCCTGTCTCTACTAAAATACAAAAAATAAGCTAGGCATGGCGGCACGTGCCTGTAGTCCCAGCTACTTGAGAGGCTGAGGCAGGAGAATTGCTTGAACCCGGGAGGCTGAGGTTGCAGTGAGCTGAGATTGCACCACTGCACTCCAGCCTGGGTGACAGAGTGAGACTCCATCTCCCATATACACACACACACACACAACTATATGAATATTAGTAGTAAACAGAGAAAAAAAAGATATAACCTTACAAAGACAACAAAAGGAGCATCTTATACTATACAAACATGTTTAGTGGACCAAATAAAACAAGAATGTAAAACAACTTATAAATACTCTCAAAGATATAAAGAAGTATGATTATAACTTTAATTGGAAAGAAGCACATCATTACAAAAATGAATAATTTGAAAATACCTTTACAGAAATAATAGTGAAAATAAAAAACTTAGGTGAGTTGAATAACCAAATAATAATTTCTGGAGAACTAGTTACTGGTAAGATGAGGGTTTTTTTTTTTTTTATAAATTTGTCAGTCTTTTCTTCAAAATGAGAAGGTACAGTTAAATCATAGACTTCTCTAACTTATGTAGATTCCAAAATAGTGAGGAAAATAAATGAGTTAGAAAAAATATTTGCAGAAATTACAATGAAAAATTTCCTCACATTATAAATTGATGATGAATGGGTTAATTAGATGTTAATTGGGATAAATCAAAATATATAGATACATTATAATTGTAGGGGAAAAAGAAATAGTAGCATGGGTACTAATTAGTTAAGTAACAGAAAAATAAGGATGGTAGAACATTTTAATATGTGAAGAATTTTAAACATGCAGATTTACTAAATTCAACAAACATATCTAGTTTTATTTTCCTTGGTAGGTTATGAACAGGTTTATAACAGTTGTCTTGCCTTTTTTGTTAAGATAGTTTCTAGATAAAGGACAGTATAATTTTTAAATTCTTATCAATGACAATGAACATAGCTATACATAGCAACTCAATTTTATAAACATATAAAAGCACTGTGATAGAAATTCCAAAAGGAATATAATCATCTATTTTAGTTGAGAAACTTAACTACCCCCTAAAAGCAAAGATTTACAGTGACCAAAATTATCATGAATAACTTGAATAACATAATTAATAAGCTTAATCAAAGACATGTAAAAATGTGCTTCTAATAAGAGCACAAACATCAGTTTTAGCTCTCCAGAAACAGACAAAAATAGTAACTTCAATGCTTTGTATTTAAATGCAGAAAGAGAGGAAAAAATTTCTTTAAGTGACCAGTAGTTTGCTTGGCAAAATTTTTTCTTAGTAATGACAGATATATGTCTACTTTTCCTATTCTTATAGCCCTTATATCTATTTATTCTGTTATTGCATTGAACAAGATCTCTAGTAATATGTGTAAACCTAATAGGAATCCTTATATTTTAGCCAATCTTAAAGAAACTGCATCCAAAATTCCCTTTTTAGTATGACATTTGCTATAGGGTTTCTTATGTAGAGTTTTACAAAAATAAGGAGTTTCCTTGTGTTGTTTGTATAAAGTAGGCCTGCTGTTTCCTTCCTGTTTTGCATTCTTTGTTGCTCTAACCACATAAATGAATTAAATAAACATTTTTAAATTTTCTTCATTTAAGCAAATGTAAAAAATGGAGTTTTTCTATCCCTCTTATTTTAAATAAAAGTTGCATTTTTCTGTAGTCCTTTTTTGGTATGAATTGTGTAATGTGATTCTATTATAACACTTCCCTAAGACTCATTATGAATTGTTATAAAATACATAAATTTAGTGGATGCTTGTTTTGTTACCTGTGTGTTATTGAAAGCCTTTTAGTTTAAATACTAGATTCCAATTATCCAAAATAACTAAAACAATACGTGAGGTGCTTAACGTATCAAAGTAAGAAATGGTTTAGTGTACCCAGAAACAAGATTCCTGAAAATTTTATCTCTGTAAAGTACAATATTTTTAATTGAATACATTAACTTTTTAAAATAACCACAAGGGACTGAAACATATATTTTGAAGATATACTCTCAGGTAAAATAGATGTCAAAATTTGTTATGGTTTTATATTTAACATTTTTTACAATTTATTTGCTATTCTTTCCATCATAACTTGTTAATTCTTGAAGATATCTCAGGGCTGGGTGTGGCAGCTCACGCCTGTAATCCCAGGACTTTGGGAGGCTGAGGCAGGCAGATCACTTGAGGTCAGGAGTTCCAGACGAGCCTGGCCAACATGGTGAAACCCCATCTCTACTAAAAATGCAAAAATTAGCCAGGTGTGGTGGCGTGTGCCTGTAATCCCAGCTACTTGGAGGGCTGAGGCGTGAGCCTTGCTTGAACCTGGGAAGCGGAGGTTGCAGTGAGCTGCACCCCAGCCTGGGAGAAAAAGCGAGACTTCATCTAAAAAAAAAAAAAAAAAATCCATTTAATGCTGCTTTTTACTTTTGCTGGTACCAAGGACAGGTCTATTAAGTATATCATAATGAGTTATTACACACGTCTCATCCTTCACCATGTAATACAAGCAAATTTTCTATACTGTTTTGCTGAAATTATAGTATTTGGAATAAAATATAAAAGTGATATATGTAAATAACATAATAGAAGACCCTGAAATGTTAAAGATGTTTTAAAACATGCATTTTTGGTGGTAGAAAAGATATCATTGTGAGCACAAAACATGAATTTTTACATTTACACTGATACTTCTCTGATTTATAGTTGAATACAAGTAGACTTAACATCTGATGGGACTCTTCTTACAAAAATACTATAATTCTGACATTGAGAATCCAAATTTCTAGGCATTCATTTTGATACTAATGCTTACTAACCCCTTATAAAACCCACTTCTTTACTTTTTCCATCTCCTGGCTTATTTGGTAGAACAATCTATGATGGCTGGATGCAATTCATGTCTTTTACATTCGTAAATGTGAACAACAAAAAAATCTCTGGTCAACTTTACAAATAATTTCATTGCTAAATAGGTCTGTGTCTTCATATCTTATTATTCTTTTTGTATTTGACACTTGTAAACATCTTGTATGCTGTAGGGACATTTCTATATAAAGTGACAAAAGTAAAAGAAATGGAACTCAGGCTGACACAGTACTTGAATTCATTGATGCCTATAACAAAAGCAGCAGCAGCAGCCACAATGTAGGACACAGTTTCACTTGGCTCTGCTGCTCCTGCTTTTTTTTGTTTCATGTGATGGTTCCCAGAAACAGCATTGTGTCTAATGATGGTTAAAAAACCTAAGCAATATTCTTTATTAGTGAATTTTCACATAAAGACTCAAAATATTACCATTGGTTTTGATTGTGTCATATGGTCATGCATGAATCAAGAACGTTGACAAGAGGAATCGGTTTCTCAAATATTGCTAGATGACAACACCATCCAACAACCTGGCCTGATAGTAAAAAGTGGTAGTTTCCCCAAAGAAATCACATGATCTTTTCCAGAAGGGGAGAGGAAGGCTGAATGCATACTAGGTAGCAAAGTCACTGTTTCCTTCACAAATCTCCTTGAAAATGTTTCATCTATTTCTTAAAATGTTTTATTTTTAAATGACACATAATTGTACATACTTAGAGGGTACAATGTGATTTTTTTCATATGTGTATACATTGTGTAATAAAAATTAGGGTAATTAGCTTTTACATCACCTTAAATATCAAAATGTTTTGTTGTGAGAAGATTCAAAATTTTCTCTTCTAGTTATTTTGACATACACATACAATAATGTTGACTATAGCCATCCTAATATGCAATAGAACACCAGAACCTGTTCCTCCTGTCTGTAATTTTCTACTCATTGACCAATCTCTCCCAGTCTCCACCTTTCTCCACCCTTCCCCAGTCTCTAGTATCTGGTCTTCTACTCTGTGGTTCTATGAGATCAGTTTATTTTTTTAAAAAAATTCCACAGATGAGTGATATCATCCTATATTTGTCTTTCTGTCCCTGGCTTATTTCACTTAACATAATGTTCTCCCAGTTCCTGAAGGTTGCTGCAAATGACAGATTTTATTCTTTTTTATGGCTAACAGTATTCCATTGTATATATGTGTAACAGTTTCTTTATCCATTCATCTGTTGAGTGGCATGTTGTTTCTAAATCTTGGCTATTGCGAATAGTGCTTCAATAAACATGGGAGTACAGCTATCTCTTCAATATACCAATTTCATTTCTTTGGGATAGTACCCAGTAGTGGGATTACTGGATTATATGACAGTTCTATTTTCATTTTTCTGAAGAACTTTCTTACTATTCTCCAAAATGGCTGTACTAATGTACATTCCCACCAATAATGTATAAGTGTTCCCATTTCTCCACATCCATGCCAATATTTTTTATTTTTTTAGTTGTGTGTGTGTTAAATTTTTATTTAAAAGGAGTGTTAAAAATAATTCTTTTCTGTTTGAAGTGGGTGTTTTTTTTTAAGTTATAGGCTACATGTGCAGGATGTGCTGGTTTGTTACATAGGTAAACGTGTGCCACGGTGGTTTGCTGCACCTGCCAACCCATCATCTAGGTATGAAGTCCAGCATGCATTAGCTATTTTTCTTAATACTCTTCCCCCCTCTGCTTCACCCCCCAACAGGCCCCAGTGTGTGTTGTTCCCCTCCATGTCCTTGTGTGTTTTTTGCATCACTATTCACAATAGCAAAAATGTGGAATCAACCCAAATACTCATCGATGATAGAGTGGATAAAGAAAATGTGGTACATATACACCATGGAATACTATGCAGCCATAAAAAGAAACGAGATCATGTCCTTTGCAGGGACATGGATGGAGTTGGAAGCTATTATCCTAAGCAAACTAATGTAGGAACAGAAAACCAAACACTGCATGTTCTCACTTATAAATGGGAGCTGAATAATGTTATTTTTATTTTAATTTTTTGATAATAGTCATGTTGACAAGTGTGAGGTGATGTCTTGCTGTGGTTTTGATTTGCGTTTCCCTGATGATTAGTCTTATTAAGGAATTTTTCATATACCTGTTGGCCACTTGTATATCTTCTTTTGAGAAATGTTAGGTCAGGTCTTAGGCCTATTTTTAAATTGGAGTTTGTTTGTTTTTGTTTTTTTTTGTTGTTTTTTGTTTTGCTATTGAGTTTCTTATATATTCTGGTTATTAACCCCTTGTCACATGCATACTATGCAAGCATTTTCTCCCATTCTGTATGTTGTGTCTTCATTCATTGTTTCCTTTGCTGTGCAGGACTCTTTAGTAAGATATAATTCCATTTGTCTATTTTTGCTTTCTTTTGCCTGTGCTTTTAAGGACATATCAAAAAAATCCTTGCCTAGACCAATGTCATGAATAGTTTCCCCCATATTTTCTTCTAGTAGTTTCATACTTTCAGGTCTTACATTTGAATCTTGAATCCATTTTAAGTTGATTCTTTTATATGGTGAGAGATAGGAATGTAGCTTCATTCTTCTGCATGCAGATATCCAGTTTTCCCAGGACCATTTATTGTAGAGATTGTCCTTTTCTCATTGACTGTTTCTGACACTTTTGTATAAATCAGTTGACTGTAGGTGTGTGGAGTTATTTCTGTGTTTTCTCTTCTGTTGGTCTCTATGTTTATTTTTTATGCCAATATGATGCTCATTTGGTTACTATAGCTATGTAGTAAGTCATATAGTGTGATGCCTCCAGCTTTGTTCTTTTCACTCAAGATTACTTTGGCTATTTGAGTTATTTTGTGGTTCCATACAAATATTTAGATTTTCTCCTATTTCTGTGAAGATGCCATTAGTGTTTTGATAGAGATTGCATTGACTCTTCAGATCGCTTTGGATAGTATGGACATTTAAACAATATCAATTCTCTAATCCTTGAACACAGAGTATCTTTCCATTTGTATCCTCTTCTAATTCTTTCATCAGTGTTTTATAGTTTTCATTGTAGAGCTCTTTCAATCCATTAGTTAAATGTGTTCCTAGTTTTATTTTTTAACTATTGTAAATGATATTGCTTTCTTCATTTTTTTCTCAGATAGTTTGCTATTGGTGTATATTAATGCTACTGATTTTATATGTTGATTTTGTATCTTGCAACTTTACTGAATAAATTTATTCTAATATTTTTGGTGGAGTCTTTAGGGTTTTGTATATATAAGATTATGTCATATGCAGACAGAGACAATTTGACTTCTTCCTTTCCAATTTTGATGCCCTTTCTTTCTCTTGCCTAATTGCCCTAACTAGGGCTTCCAGCACTATACTGAATAAAAGTGATGAATGTAGACATTCTTGTTTGTATTTTTTTCCAGATTTCAGAGGAAAAGCTTTCACCTATTCCCCATTCAGTGCAATATTAGCTGTGCATTTGTCCTATATGGACTTTATTGTGTTGAGGTACATTGCTTCTGTGCCTAATTTCTTAAGAGTTTTTATCACAGAGGATGTTTATCAAGTGCTTTTTCTGCATCTATTGAAATGATCATATTGGCTTTTTTCTTGATTCTGTACATGTGGTGTCTTGTGTTTATTGATTTGCATATATCAAATCATCCTTGTACAACTGGGATGAATCCCAATTGATCATGGTGAATGATCTTTTTAATATGTTGTCAAATTGGGTGTCCTAGTATTTTGTTGGTTTTTCCTTGTATGGTCATCAGAGATGTTGGCTGGTACTTTTCTTTTTAAATTGTGTCCTTGCCTAATTTTTGGTATTAGAGTGATCGTGGCCTTGTAGAATGCGTTTGAAAGAATTTCCTCCACTTTAATTTTTTTGAATAGTTTTTAAAAAATTGTATCAGTTCGTTAAATGTTTGGTAGAAATCATCAGAAAAGCTGTAAGGTCCTGGGCTTTTCTCTGATGAGAGACTTTTTTATTGCTTCTTGGTGTCATTATTCACTATCGGTCAGCTCAGATTTCCACTTTCTTTATGATTTAATTTTGGTAGGTTGTATGTGTCCAAGAATTTATTCATTTCTTCCAGGATTTTCAATTTTGGGCATATCGTTCTTCATAATAGTATATTATGATCCTTTGCATTGTTTGTGGTATCACTTGTAATGTCTCTTTTTCCATCTCTGATTTCAATATGCTTCTTGTCTTAGTTGAGCTTGAGCTAAAGGTTTCTTTATTTTGTTTATCTTTTCAAAAAACAACTCTGTTTACTCGATTTTTTATGTTATTTCCTCTCTGTTTAGTTCATTTATACTCTGATCTTTATTATTTATTTTCTTCTAATTTTGGGTTTAGTTTGCTCTTGTTTTTCTAATTTCTTTATGTTAACATTTAAGGCGTTTATTTGAGATCTTTCTAATATATTTTGATTAGGTGTTTGTTGCTATAGTCTTCCCTTTTAGAACTGTTTTGCTGTAGTCATAGGTTTTGGTATGCTTTGTTTAAATTTTCATTAGTTTCAAGAATTTTAAAAAATTTTTAAATTTCTTCATTCACTTATGAAGAAACACTCTCCCTTAGTTTTCTTCCATCTTCTTGGCTCTCCTTATTTTGCTTTGTATCTTGACTATACTTTCTTTGTCTCAACTTTAACTATTGTTATTTCTTTTAGATTTATTCCAATCATCCTTTTCCCTCTACATATTCTTCATTATTCAATTTATATTTCAATTAGTGATTCTGTTGTCTACATTTTTGACCTTCAGTTCTATAAATCCATTCTGATTTATCTCATCTCATAAGCTCCAGAACTGTAATGTCCCACTGAATATTACAAAGTCAATGTTCTCTAGCATAATAAGACCTACACTTTATTAACTGTACTCATCCACTTAACTCTATCTGCAAACTTGTCTTCTCATATTTTCTATAATTCGTCAAACAGTAACATTAGTCATCTAGATGTCCATTAAAGACACCAAAGAGCCATCTCTTTATGTATATTAACTCTTTCAGTTACCAAAGACTTTCATTCACCAAAGACTTCTAAGGTTTTGCCTCACTTTTTTTTTATCTTCCCCACATTTTTCTTTTTGTTAACCCCTACCTTATTTCAGATCTTCATTGAGCAGTTTTTCTTGATTTTTGCTCTCTATGCCATGCTTCTACTAGGGTTTTCCTTCTAAAGCACACATATGATTGTGTCATTTTGCTGTCTAATGGTTTTATTTTTTAATTCCCCCTAATGAAATATGGATAATGCACAACCTTATCAGAGTGTTTAATCTGGACTGGTCCCAGCTTACTGCTTCAGTATCGTATTTCAGCATTATCCACCTCAAAACACATGTGTTCTTTATACCGTGCTACTTGAAGTCTCTAAATTATGACCATCTTATTTCATACCCTCCATGAATACCCGCTGTCTAAGTCTCTGGGTTGTCCTTCACCTATTTTCTTTTTCCCCTCAGATAATGCTTATTTATCTTTCAGGACTCATTTCAACTTTTATACCTTCCAGAAGCCTTTCAAAATACCATTTCTGCAAATTTTGGTTAGACAGTTTCCACAGCACCCTGAGAATAGCTCTGATGTTGTCTTCATTAATCTTGTCTGTAGTCATCTACATTTTTGTTCATTCTCCTTTACCACACTGTATTTATCTGGAAGAAGGAGGACTAGCACCTAGTAATTATCACACTAAATAGTAATGAAAAAGGCCATTCAGTGATTTTTTTCCTCAGGATATCACAATATAAAAAAATATTTCTTAAAGGTTTCCTTTTTTGGTGGATTTTGGCAGCTCTGTGCATTAAAATTTTATATTAGTAGTTGACAACATGTTGAACATGTTCAAATATTTCTTTTGTGTAAATTTGATTTTAAGAAAATAAAGGAATTATGAAAGTCTGTGTTTCAGTGTTCAGATATGCATATATGTAAGAAGGCACATATGTGTGCATGAATACAGATGGATTTGTGTACATTTATATATTGCTATGTTTGATTTTGGTGAAAGGTCTATATAATATGTTTCCAGCAGATGTCAATTTACAGTCATTCTTGGGACAAATGTTTAGAAATAATGCATCAGATAATATTTAGTAATATCTTCTCCTCTTGAAAAGAAGTCTACAATATGGTTGACAAAAGTTTAGTGCAATGATTTTATAATTTGTTTATAATCAATAGATGTTTGCTTGGAGGATTTAAAGTTCACTGCAACAGAAGATTAAAGCAAATAGCATTAAATCATTTAAAAATTCAGGACAACCCTGTAACTCTTAATACTTGCAGATTTATGCCTATAGATATTGGCATGGTAGTTAAACAACCTTGAGGTGAACTATCAATGAGCAGTAGTTAGAAACCCCATTGTACAAAGTTATAGCTAGATAGGCAAACCAGCATGAACCTTAAACTCTTTGAGGCAAATCTACTGAAATAATTCAAGATAATAGTATGTTCATTTTTGGCTTTTCAAGATTAAAAAAAAAATGTAACATACGTAAAAAATTTGGAAACTTGGGGGAATAGCACTCAATCTATGATTTCAATTGTACATATTTTGGGTTTCTTTTCCTTTTAGAAATAGTACTATATATTTATCTCTTTTTCTAATAAGTTTAAAATGTATAAAGGGTAAGATTTGGAGGACTATGATAATAGAGTTCCCACACAATTTTCAGTAATCAAATATGTATATGAATATGTAAGAAGTGTGTATAAATTTTGCCAAAAGCTTAAGATCCAGAACTTTAAAATGGTATGATATTTATTGTATGACCATTAAGTTTCATGTTTTCCTAAGGCCTCTAACCTACCTAACTGATGTCTTTTTCTTGATCTTGTAGTTATTAACATCTTCATTATTTTCATTTATCTTTTAATTTATGTTCTAACCTGTCTTAATGTGTAATTATTTTATCCTTTTATATCTGATATTTTACTTTTTGTCTTTTTTATTTTTTACTAGACAATTTTAGAAGTTTAATCAGATCATATATTTTAAACTTTTAGCAAGTCACGTTAATAAAAGGAATAAGAATGAAATACTCAGCATCTCTGGGGGAATTTCTTCCAGGACCTCGCACAAATACCAAAATTATTGGGTACTCAAGTCTTTCATGTAAAATGGCATAGTATTTGCATATAACTTATGCACATCCTCCCATATGCCTTAATTATCTCTAGATTACTTGTAAACTATATGCAAAAAGGTGTTATACTGTATTGTTTGGGGAATAATGGTAAGAAAAAACGTCTATACAGGAGGAATTTTCTTTCCAAATATTTTCGATCCTTGGTTGGTTGATGCTATGGATGCGGAATTCATGGATGCAAAGGGATAACTGTATTGCATTTTTAGTGATTTTAGTATCACATCTTCCTAATTACTCTTTGTAAGGTCTTCTTCATCATGTGTTTTCTTCATTTATTTTTATCATCATATTTAAATCTCTAGTATGCACATGTATCTCAAAGACAAATTGCCTGAATATTTGTTACTTGCTGAATTCTGTAGCTTATCAACTAGCACCTCATTATTTATTAATTGCATTATGATATGGTTGATTGCTGTTCTACATATCTCTCATAAGAGGATTTTAAACACTTTAAGATAAGGGCCGGTTTCTGTCTGTCTTTCAAAATATTCTAATTATATGAACTAGGATCTGTGCTACTCATTTTCACATGGGCAGTTTCAGTTAGTTTTCACAATCATTATTTATCGATAAAAGAAAAATGAGTTAAGTAATAGCAGACACAGTATTGAAAGAATTTTTTGCTTTTGGATCTTACCTTGTATATCAAGTGATCGTCAAAGTCATGGTCCTACCTAGTTTCACTAGTTTTCCCAGGGCCTGAAGTATATTAAAATAGACTAACAGATTACAACAGAGTTTGGGAAGTAATAGAAGGATAATTTATATCCTTATTATAAAGGATAATAAGGGTTAATATCTGGAGCATTGTACCCTAGATAAAGATTGCTTAAGGTGTTCAACCAGTGAGTAGTAGTTAGAAAGAATCCTTATTTTCAAAAATCATGGATGAATAGGAAAACCAGCATGAGCTATAAAATCATTGAATGTATACGCACTCAGCTGTGACTCTGAGATTAGAAATCCCATTGGTTTTTAAGGTAAGAATGCTGAGGCACATCCTGTAACAAATAGTTATCAGGAGATAAACAATATAACACAAATAATAGAACACAGTTTCCATAAAGGAGAATAATATGTGATAGGAAGAGAATCCATACAGATCATCAGAAAAAAGTAGAAAGGGAGCATCCTTTCAGATAGGTAAACATGTTGATGGGGACTTTAGGAATTTGCTGGTAGTAACTGATTTCAGGGCTCCAAACTCAGTCCTGGTATCAAATTTCTGTTTTAGGAGTAGTTGCAAGGTAGGGGCACACATTTGTATACACCAGAGTATAAGGCATATTTAAAGAACCCAGGGGGAAAATGCCAAGTGAACTATTTTAGGAGTTGAAAGTAAAGGCAAAGGCTTGAACTTCTATACTTCCGCTACCTATTGCTACACTGTACACTGGATCAGATCTGGTTTTCTAACACAACATGTCTGTGACATGATTTTGGTATCTACTGTATTGTGATGAGAAACATGTTACTTAATATTCGTAAGAATTCTTAACTTACTATTTTCCCTTTTTAGATAAAGAGATGGGCACTCCAATATTAAATAACCCAATACGTCAAATTTAGTCAATCACAAAAGTGAGATTAAAACTTAGATTGTTCTGTTTCTCCAACACTACAGCCATCCTACTGTTTGGAATGTTATTTTACATGTGGCATGACTTAACGTGAGGAGTCTTGCTAAAACCAATTTATAAACAAATCTACATTGATTGTGGATGATGAATCTGAGAATTTTGTGTTGAGAAATCTTTTAATTTCAAGGGACATCTTACAGCTTTATCTCCTTATTCTGGTGAAGTACGTTATGTGTGATCACGTACCTCCCATTGTGTAAAACTGAAATGGACATACAAGCTATTCCCTGACAGGCTCCCATTCATATTCAAATGAGCATTATGAATACATGCATTTATTGATAATTATTCAGGATAGCAGAAAGTGACATTGGATAGTTTATTTACTTATAAATTCTTTTGACTTTATAAAATTAAAATGCACTGCAATATATCTGAAAAATAACACTTGAAAATACATTGTTTCTGTTTGCAGGCTTTTTTTTTTATTCTAACTCTAAGACTTTAGTTTCTAAAAAACAAAAATGAATTACCAAAGAATTTATTTCGAGGAATAATTAGATAATATTAACAAATGTTTGCCCTCATGTAAAGAGTTTTAAAAATAATGCTTTATACTTAAATCTCTCTAAACTTATTATTTTCTTATGTAGAATAAGTTATAAGAATGAGTCAGAAAACACTTTTCAAGCTATGTGAACAGTAATACTGTATAATTTACTATAATTCAGTTCAAAATAATTTATGTGGCTAATGACGTATATTCATGTAGTGATACAGTGAATTCGGGCAGGGAATTTGTGCCTAGCATCAAAATCTGAAATGGCTGGTAGCCTAGTAATTTTCTGTGAATCATAGGTGTGAGTTTTAGATGAAGGGACATGGATCTATGTGTTTTTCAATTAATTTTTTTCTTCTACATTTTACAAGAGAATTCTAGCAGGTGAAATAATGTACATTCTCATAGGAACATTGGGTCACTTAAAAATCTATGTTTTTCTAGTAAGAGATGGGCAGTATTTATCCTACCTAGGAAGTAGCCAGCAAAGCGTCCACTGAGCTCTATTTTTAAAAGGCTATGTAGAGTTTTCTACATTGTTTTCTTTTCTCAGTCATTTTTGTCTGGCTCCTAGCCCGTTGCTAAAGAAAAGAACATTTATATTTGTATTTTCAAAACGATGGCTAATCCCTAAAAGTTAAGAACTACTGACATATAGGAACCTTTAACCATAATCTACTTACCAGTGAAGATCTATAATACAAAATATATTAAGCTATGTATATGGTAATTTAATTATTAAATGTTTAAATATGTTTAAATTAGCAAATCATGTGGTTTAACTTTTTCTTAGTAATGCCTATGAAAGTTCATGTTGTGGAAGAATAGAAAAGTAGAATGGGGCACATTGAGCCCCAAATGAAAAGCTAAGTATACTAGAGTTTTCCTCTCAAATAGTGCAACACATGTACATGGTAAGTTGAAGGTTGTTTACCATTTTATGTTTTGTTTTGTTTGTTTCTTAAGATTAAGGATTAATGAGGCTACAGAGTTCAGTTAACTCAAATGTGAAAGCTTCCAAATGTGAAATTGATTTGTTTGTTGCTAAAATACAGCTCATGAACATACCAAATTGTGCAAGCAATGTATCAAAAACTGAGTCTGATGATTATCTTGGGCTGCTTTTAATTGTGAAAAAATTGTCTAAAACATGATGCATAAAACCAAAATGTTGGATTTCTAAGGTATATTAAGATTATGTTAGTATTTTTTTCAAATTTATTTATTTTTAATATTTCTTTTTTTTTAAACTTTTATTTTGGGTTGGGGATACATGTGAAGGTTTGTTACATAGGTAAACAAGTGTCACTGGGGTTTGTTGTACTTATTGTTTCATAGTACCCAGGTATTAGTATTATAGGACAAAAGTATTTTTAAAAAAGACTTCTCAGCAATCCAAATACATGATCTAATTAACTCATTTTTTTCAATTTTCTATAAAATATAGACAATAGTGACACCTAAGCAAGGCACAAAATGAGCAGTGAAGAGATTAAGAAGGTAATATTCGTTTCTTTTAGTCTTCTATGTATTCTCAGATTTTCTTTTGTTCTGCACTAATTTAGCACTCAGTTACATCCTAGCTACTTAATTATAAAGAATTCCCACATTCCGATATATAAATCTTGTGTATTATTCTGTTTTGCTAGATGATGATACATAAGATACAACTGCAAATCTCAGTGTCCCAAAAGGACGGTTGTTTATTTCTCTCTCCTGTTACATGCCTATTGCTCCACTCACTTCTGACTATGAGTTGGAATCAAGTCTGTTTCATGTATCTTTTTCTTCCAGGCTCAGACTGAATGATGAGCTCTGATTTGGAATTTGTTCACTTCATGTAGAGAACTGAAAAGACGTACACAAATGGAAATTTGTAATGTCTTTAAACATTTCTGTTTGGTTGTTTCAAACATCATGTTTTCTTACTGTCCGTTGGCCAGAATAAGTCTTGTGGCCAAGTCCAAAGTCAATAGAGTGGAAAATTATAACTCCACCTACACGAAATTAAAAAAGTAAATGATTTTTAAAAATAATAATCTACTGTATTCTTGTAGATTCCAGAGTTGCATGGTTTATGTATAATTATGGCTCACAAAATTTTCTATTCATTGATATCCTCCTTGACTTATCCTCATTTTAATAATTAATTAAACAGAAATTACGAAGTGGAAAAAAAGAAAAGTAAGCTGATAGTAAAAAATATTCATATCTGGAGCTAAGCTTCAGGCATCATTTCATTTCCAGAAAGTAAATAAATAGATACCCTGAGCAGACCACACTATAAGCCACCAAGTTTATGGATGGTGTATGTTGAAACTTATTCCCAAGAAAACCACACAGCGTCTGATGAGAACTTGTGAATTCTTATTTTTACGTACATTTTTGTTATTTAAATTCCTAAATAAATCTTATTAGAAGCACATTAGAAACATTCACAATTATACCAGTTGACTTGACAGCTGACAGCCTGAAATGAGAGAAAAGACTTATGGTAAATTGTATTATTGATCTTAATGTTTCATCTCTTCTTATTTCCATAGTATTTTTGTGTGACTCCATAGTTCCTCTTGTAAAGGCAGAGTGTGTTTCCCTGCTCCCTTGACTTTGTACTTGGCCATGTAACTTACGTTAGAAATAGAATGAAACAATAGTAAAAGTGTGCCAGTTCCAAACCTAGGCTTTAATATGCCTTGGTATTTGTTTGCTCTGTTGTGCCTCTTCTATCACCATGAAATGAACTTATTCTGCTAAACTATTAGGCTAAGGAAGATGAGAGACACATAGAACATAACTGACTCTACTGATCCTGGCAAAGATCAGCCCAAGTCTAGCTAACCCATGTATGGCTATTATTTTAAGCCATTAAGTGTTGGGGTAGACATATGTATTATTTCAGATTTTTGGCAATAGTTGATAAAAGACCAAACAATCATAAGAATGTGAGAATAATTTTAAATAATAATATTTTAGTCTAGAATTCTTTAGTGTTTAGCTATGTAATAAAAGAGGAATCTAAGCAATACTTGAGGATATTTAGGTTAAAAAAATTGCTTATTATTATAGACTGTTAACAATCTTTAATCTGTTCTGTTAATTTCCAAGAGTTAGAGTTAGCCGCACTTTTCAAATCCATTTGACATCAGAAAATTAACATTAGTGGGGATAGAGAGTAATATCTCTCTAAACATAATTTGCTTAATAAAGGTTATTCTTGATCATTTAGCAGAGTAAGCAATAATTCTACAACCCTTGGGAACTTTGCTGTTGAATCCTCCATATGAGGCACTGTATATACTGGAAATAATGCTTTGTCATTAAGAAATATTTATAAGAAAATTTAATAAGCTTCAAGAATTGTAGTATAAGTTTGTATATACAGGGTACTATTTTTTTCTTCATCCTTTTAATGAGGAACCAATGGATATAAGAGATAATGTGACATGATGAGAAGAAAACAGATGTGTTTTCCACAGAGCCATGGCTAGAGTGAAGAGTGTAGCATATTTGCTAAGATATATATTGTTTCAATCACTAAATACCGCTTATTGTCTACAACCATGATATCTGTGGCTATATTTGTGAGGCTATTTCAGGGAGTTACAATCTCTTAGCTAATAAATAGCTGACATAATTAATTGATAAAAGCTACAAGTATGCCAGAATGATTTTATAGAAAAGATATTTAGCGATTCATATTTGACAATAAATTATGCAATTTTAAACAACAATATACTTATCAATAGGTTTAGTCTTTTAAAGATTACTGGAAAAGCTACTGAATAATTATTTTAAGACTAAGAAAGTTCTGTATTCTTGTTTCTGTAATTACTTAAAATCCAGTATGAGCAAATGCACAAAGACTGATTATCAATTTATTACATTTCCACTTTTTAAAATAAAGTCGCCCTTCAGTATTTGTGAGTTCTGCATCCATGGATTCAGCCCACTTCAGATTTAACATATTCAGGCAAAAACAATAAAAACACTATAATAATAAAAAATACAAGTAAAACCAATACAGTATAACAACTACTTATAGAGCATTTACATATTTTAGTAGGTATTATAAGTAATCTAGAGATGAAGTGTATAGGAGGTTGTGCGTAGGTTATATGCAAATAGCACACCATTTTATATAAGAGACTTGAGGATTTGTGGATTTTGGTATCTACAGCAGTCCTGGAAACAATTCCTCATAAATACCAGGTCACACAGGTATTGCAAAGCTAGGAATACTAACATTAACTTACATATTATGAAAACAAAAAATCATAATTCATCTTATATCTATGGGAATGCCAAGATAGCATATGTCGGCAATTTTCATTTCTTCCCTGTTAGAATTTTTTTCAAGATCTAGTATGCTTTATAGCAAAGTGCTAGGTAATTGGCGTATTCAAATTAAATTTCATTCCAATTTCAAAAGGGGAAAGCAGTGTATTTCTCAATTTTATGTTATTAGAGCTCACTTCCTAGCCATTCAGCTTTAATCATGTTTACTTCCTTGTACTAACAGTAAAAACTTTTTTAAAACATTTTATTTATATATATTTTTAGATGGAGACTCACTCTGTCACCCGGGCTGGAGTGCAGTGGCTTGCTCTCGGCTCACTGCAACCTCCGCCTCACGGGTTTAAGCAATTCTCTGCCTCAGCCTCCCGAGTAGCTGGGATTACAGGCACCTGCCATCGTGCCATTGTGCCTGGCTAATTTTTGTATTTTTAGTAGAGATGGGGTTTCACCATCTTGGCCAGGCTGGTCTTGAACTCCTGACCTCATGATCCACCCACCTTGGCCTCTCAAAGTGCTGGGATTACGGGCGTAAGCCACCGCGCCCGGCTGAAAACAAAATTTAAAAGTATCCCTCAACCCAATGTTTCATATATTAAATACTGTATGAAGTACTGTATAAACACCTAACACATGAATTGCAGTCTTGGCTATTATATGTCATGCAGTCACCTTTCTCTTTGTTTATTCTAGTTAAAATTTGTAGTATTTGTAATTAATATAGTTATCTCTATTCATGTGAATTTAGTCAGATGATGAATGATGCTGTGGCCAGGCAGATCAGGGATTCCACACTTAGTAACTTTAGAATTGAAAGTCAACACATCTTTTCCAAACCATCATCATGGAAGTGTTTGCAAAGACATGCCAATGTTAACTTAGCAGATTTAGCCTAAAGTGGATGCAATAAGGTTCAGAAGCTAATTTGAGTGAATAAAATGCTTTCCAAAAAGTTGGTACTTTTTTACTCTAAAGAGGCAATAAAACCTGAAAAAAACGAAAATTAGATTTGTGTCTCTATATATAAATTTGACAGGGTTGCATTGACAACCTGTCTTGCAAAATACAGTCTTGGAATCAAAATTTAGAAGAATTCTAAAAATCACAAGACTATATAAACCACTTTTCAACCTGAGGACAGATATATTTAACAATTAACCAAAACACTGCATGTATGTATATGTAAAATATGTAAGTCTCCATTATTATAACACTTACATAAATATATCATACAAGTATAGTACTTGCCTGAATCCTGAAACAAGATTTCGAGGGCCGGGCACGGTGGCTCACATCTGTAATCCCAGCACTTTCTGAGGCCAAGGCAGGTGGATCACTTGAGGTCAGGAGTTCAGAACCAGTCTGGCCAACATGGTGAAACCCTGTCTACTCAAAATACAAACATTAGCCAAGCATGGTGCTGTGCATCTATAGTCCCAGCTACTTGGGAGGCTGAGGCAGGAGAATCGCTTGAATCCGGGGGGTGGAGGTTGCAGTGAGCCAAGATCACACCAGTGCACTCCAGCCTGGGCAACAGAGCAAACTCTTCCAGCAAAATATACTCACTCCCCTTGAAGTTTGAACCTAATTTTTAGAGTGCAGTAATGTGGTATTTGGGACAAAAGCAAGAATCTAGGGAAGATACCTTAATATTCTCACACATTTATACCAATCAAATATGAACAAGGGTAAAAATGAAAAACGGGTATAGGCTAAAAGTTACTTAGAAATAATTAAATCAAGTATATTAATAAATATACATAGGACACTTTATGATTGCTTATGCTGACTCAGTAATCTCTGAAATTATTGACCGAGAATTATGGTAATTGATTTCATTTATCTACAATTTGTGGTGGCAAAAGCTAAGTTTATTTTTTTTCCTATTTTGGAATCTAAAATATTGCTTCATAGCAGCATTATGTGGAATAGTCCAGCACCAGAAACAGCTAAAATGTTTATTAGCAATAAACTGAATATGTAAATCATGCTATATTCACAGAACAGAATGAATATAAATGGACTCCAACGATATGTACTGACATAGATGAACTGTACAAATAACACTGAACAAAATAATCCAGCCATAGCAAAGTATACCCTATAAGATTCAATTTACATAAATTTAAAATAAGGCAAATATGATTTTTATTATGGTAAAATGTATATAACATAAAATTTACCATTTTAACCATTGTTATCTGTGTACAATTCAGTGGCATTAAGTGTATTTATAATGTTGTACAACCATCACCAATATCCAATTTCATAAAATTTTGATTCCAAACAGAATCTCCATACCTATTAAACAAGAAATCCTGTAAAAATTCCATTCTACTTTCTGACTATATAATTTTTCCTGTTATATTTTGGTGTCTGTTTCCTAAAAGATGACAGTAGGGTTGGAAAATTAACACAGAGTGGTACAAGATAATGTTTTGAAGTGATGGAAATATTCTATATTCTGTGTTTGGTAGAGGTACAGAACTGAATGCATATTTAAATTCAGAACTGTACACCTAAAAAGTATGACTTCTCTTGTAATCTAAACTCCAGTAAACATGATGTTGACAACAAAAAATGAAACTCACCTATGACAAGTCCCTTTCCATCAGGACAATTGGGAGGCACTAGGAAGAGAATAATGATGTTATTAGTTGCATGACTTTCAAGTAACATTGTATTGGGTAGCGATATATTCACCCTTTCGGATTAGTAGGACAGGGTTGATATGGTTTTCCTGTGTCCCCACTCAAATCTCATCTTGACTTGTAGCTCCCATAATTCCCACATGTTGTGGGAGGGACCCAGTGGGAGGTAATTGAATCGTGGGTGTGGTTTCCCCCATACTGTTCTCGTGATAGTAAATAAGTCTCACGAGATCTGATGGTTTCATAAGGTGTTTCTCTCTTTGCTTGACTCTCATTCTCTCTTGTCTGCCACCATGTAAGATGTGCCTTTTGCCTTCTGCCATGATTATGACTCACGTGGAACTGTGAGTCCATTAAACCTCTTTTTCTTTATAAATTAGCCAGCCTTGTGTATGTCTTTATCAATGTGAAAGTGGAGTAATACAGTAAGTTGGTGCAAGAGGTGGGGTGCTGCTGTAAAGATAGTCAAAAATGTGGAAGCAACTTTGGAACTGTGTAACAGGCAGAGGTTGGAACAGTTTGGAGGGCTCAGAAGAAAACAGGAAAATGTGGGAAAGTTTGGTACTACCTAGAGACTTTTTGAATGGCTTTGACCAAAATGCTGATAATGATAAGGACAATGAAATCTAGGCTGATGTGGTCTCAGATGGAGATGAGGAACGTGTTGGGAACTGTAGTAAACATGACTCTTGCTATATTTTAGCAGAGAGACTGGTGGCATTTTGCCCCTGCCCCAGAGATTTGTGGAACTTTGAATTTGAGGAAGGTGATTTAGGGTATCTGGTGGAAGAAATTTCTAAGCAGCAAAGCATTCAAGAGGTGACTTGGGTGCTGTTAAAAGCATTCAGTTTTAAAAGGGAAACAGAGCATAACATTTTGGAAAAGTTGCAGCCTGATGATACGATAGAAAAAAAAAAACAATTTTCTGATGAGAAATTCAAGCCAGCTGCAGAAATTTGCATAAGTAATGAGGAGCCAAATGATAATCTCCAAGACAATGGGGAAAATGTCTCCAGGGCATGTCAGAGAACTTTGTGGCAGCCCCTCTCATCACAAGTCCAGAGGCCTAGGAGGAAAAAATGGTTTTTTGGGCCAGGCCCAGGTCCCCCCTGTTATGTGCAGCCTAGGAACTTGGTGCCCTGCTTCCTAGCTGCTCTAGCCATGGCTAAAATGGGCCAAGGTACAGCTTGAGCCATGGCCTCAGATGTTGCAAGCCCCAAGCTTTGGCAGCTTACATGTGGTGTTGAGCCTGCAGGTGCACAGAAATCAAGAATTGGGGTTTGGGAACCTCTGCCTAGATTTCAGAAGATGTATGAAAATGCCTGGATGTCCAGGAACAAGTTTGCTGCAGGGGTAGGGCCGTCATGGAGAACCCCTGGTAGGGCAGTGCAGAAGGGAAATGTGGGGTTGACCCCTACATGGGGTCCCTACTGATGCACTGCCTAGTGGAGCTGTGAGAAGAGGGCCACCATCCTCCAGACCCCCAAATTGTAGATTCACTGGCAGCTTGCACTGTTCACCTGGAAAAGTTGCAGACACTCAATGCCAGCCCATAAAAGCAGCAAAGAGTGGGACTGTACCCTGAAAAGCCACAAGGGTGGAGCTGCCCAAGTCCATGGGAGCCAACGTCTTGCATCAGCATGACCTGGTTGTAAGACATGGAATCAAAGGAGATCATTTTGGAGCTTTAAGATTTGAGTGCCCTGCTAGATTTCAACATGCATGGGGACTTTATCTTCTTCATTTTGACCAATTTCTTCCACTTGGAATGGGAGTATTTATTCAATGCCTGTACCCCCATTGTATCTAGGAACTAAGTAACTTGCTTTTGATTTTACAGGCTCATAGACAGAAGGGACTTTCCTTGTCTCAGATAAGACTTTTGACTGTGGACTTTTTGAGTTAATGCTGAAATGAGTTAAGACTTTAAGGAACTGTTGGGAAGACATGATTGGTTTTGAAATGTGAGGACATGGGATTTGGGAGGGGCCAGGGGTAAAATGATATGATTTGGCTGTGTCCCCACCAAAATCTCATCTTGAGTAGTAGCTCCCATAATTCCCATACACTGTGGGAGGGACCTGGTGGGAGGTAATTGAATCATGGGGGCAGTTCCCCCATACTGTTCTCGTGGTCGTGAATAAGTCTCATGAGATCTGATGGTTTTATAAGGTGTTTCCCTTTTCACCTGGCTCTCGCTCTCTCTCGTCTGCTGCCGCGTAAGATGTGCCTTTTGCCTTCCATCGTGATTGTGAGTCCTTGGTTTAAAACACCAAGATTTATTGTTTCTGAGGTTATGTGAGTTGGCTGAGTGATCACTTACATTTAGCCTGGGTCAGCTGGGGCTGAAGAATATATTGATAAGATTGTAGGACTCTAGTGTCAGCTGGGGTGATGATTGTCTCATCACCCAGTAAGTTTGCCTGGGTTCCATCACATGATAGTTTCATGGTCTCAGCAGTAAGTTGGGGGCAATACCAAATGCAGAACTCTTTAAGTATCTGAATATGTATCATTTCTTGTATCTCTGGCCAAAGCAAATTATGTGATCCAGCCCAAAACCAAGCTGTGGGGAAATAAAATCCATCTCTTGATTAAAAGAGTGGCAAACTCACATTTTCAAAGGGTAGGTATCTACTTTGATGGCAGAATTTGTAAGTGATATTTTTAACAGTTTTATTGGGGTATAGTTTTGTTTTTTTGTTTTTTTTGTTTTTATTTTTTGGGGGGCAGACAGTGTCTTGCTCTTGCCCAGGCTGGAGTTCAGTGGCGCAATGTCAGCTCACTGCAACCTCCACCTCCCAGATTCAAGCAATTCTCTTGCCTCAGTCCCCTGAGTAAATGAAACTACAGGCATGTACATCACACTCAGCTAACTTTTTTTTTTGTATTTTTAGTAGAAACGGGGTTTCACCATGTTGCCCAGGCTGGTCTCGACTTCCTGAGCTCAGGCAATCTGCCACCTTGGCCTCCCAAAGTGCTAAGATTACAGTGGGGTATAGTTTTAAAATTGATGAATTTTCAGTGCATATCAATGAGTTTTTTTCTATGTATAAACACATTATGTCATCACCATAATAATGATTTAGAAAATTTCCTCATCCCTCTTTCTGCTTCGCAATCAATCTCCACCTCTTGACACAACCAATCTCTGATCTTTCTGTCACTAATGATTTGACTTATTTAGGATATAATTTAAATGAAATTATATATGTTATCTTATGTATCTGGTTTCTTTAATTTAACATAATGTTTTTGAGTTTTCTTCCATAGTTGCTATTCTATCAATTTAACATGTTCTTTATCCCTTTAAAAGCTGATGGAGCTTTGGGATAGTTCATATATTCAGCTACTATTAATCAAGCTGCTATAAATACAGGATAAGTATCCCTTATCCAAAATTCTTGGCAACAGAAGTGTTTCAAATTTCAGATTTTACAAAATTTGCATTTTAAACTTACTGGTTGAGCATTCCTAATCCAAAAATTTGAAGTCTAAAATGCTCTAGTGAGCATTTTCTTTGAGCATCGTATCAATGCCTCAAAAGTTTTGAATTTTGAAGCATTTCAGGTTTTGGATTTTCAGATTATGAATATTCAAACTGTATTAGCTTGTAAGATTTATGTGGAAATTCATATTCATTTACTTTGGATAAATACCCCAAATTCAAATTCCTGGATCATATGTTAAGTGTATGTTTAACAATACTTCCGTAAGGTGGTTGGTAATGTTCCCCACTTCATTCCTGATTTTAACAATTTGAATCTTGTCTGTCTCTCTCTTCTCTCCTCCTCTTCCTCCCTCCTTCCTTCCTCTTCCTTTCTCATCCTCCTTTTTCTTCCTCTTCTTCCTCCTCCTTTTTCTTCTTCTCTCTCTCACTCTTTCTGTCTCTCTCTCATTTCTTGGTCAGAATAGCTAGTTTTGTCAACTGCGTTTACCTTTCCAAGAACCAACTATTGCTTTTTGTGATCATATTATTTTTTTAGTTAGCTATATCATTTATTTCTGTTCTAACCTTTATCCTTCCTTTCTTTAATTTGGGGTTGAGGTTGCTCTTTTTCTAGTTTTGTCAGGTGTAAAGTTAGGTATTGATTTGAGATCTTAATTATTTTTAAATAAAAGCATTTCCAGCTAAGAAATTTCCTTGAGCACTGCTTTCCTGAATCTCCAAAGTTTGGTATGTATATTGTATTTTAGTCTTGGTTTTTATTCTTTTCAGAGTATCATCTGATTTCCATTATAATTTCTTCCTTGTCTTATTAATTAATTGGGAATAGATTGTTTTAGTTATAACATATTTATGAATTATCCAAATATGCTCTTTTTGGATTGAATGTTCTATAGATACCAGTTACGTATAGGTATAGTTGTTATATAATGTTCTTTAAGCCTTATGTTTATTTGGTGATCTGTCTAGTTTTTCTATTCCTTGTTGAATGGGGGGTATCGAAGTCTTCAGTAATGTTAGTTGAACTGTTTCTCACTTAAATTCTGTCAGTTTTGGCTTCATGTATTTTGAGGCTCTATTGCTAGGTGCATATGCATTTATAATTATTATATCTTCCTGATGAATTATCTTTCTCTTCTTCTTCTGGGTATTTATTATGTGTGTGTTTTTCTACTTGATGGTATCCCACTGGTCTCAGTCCCAGACATGTCACAACATGAAATTAGTTCTGAGTTTTTTGAATGTGGTCTGGTCTTCTCTCTTTGGTACCAGGAATGTGCACTGGTCTTTCTGCTGAGCTGGCAAGTGGATGATGGATAATGGGAATGGTGTAACGTAAAACATCACAAAATGAAAAAAAGCTGTAATTACCAAAAATAAGCCTTATTTCTTGAATAACGATTCCCCAGTTTGCTGCTATAGTTTACTTAATTTATAAAGTTTGTAAAAGTTGAATCAGACAGTTCTTTCCTAGATTTTGTTGTTGCTTTTATGGAGGGCCAAAGTTTGTATTTACTTACTCTGCAATTTTTACTGATGTCATCTTTTAATTTTTGTAATGGTGTCTTTTGACAAACAATGGTTTTCAATTTTGAACAAGTTCAATTTGTCATTTAAAAAATACTCCGCACTTTTAATAAATTTGTATCTAAGAAATCTTTGTCTAGCTCATGGACATATATATTTTAATCTTAAAAATTCTTTAATTTTTTTCCTACCCTTTGGAACCATCAAAAGTTGCTCTGTTGACACACATAGCTAGCCTAAAGTGTTGGTAAATTATCCCTCTGAGCAACCTCGATGTTTCTTGAAAGTTCCATCACAGTTCCAATGCAAAGATTCTGAGAAAGATTTTATACCTTTGGTAGGGTTTAAAACATGACTAATTTCCATTCAACTATTGTGATATGTTACTTATTACCATATCCCTCCTTATTGTCATTCATTCTCTGTACCCATTGTCCAACTAGTGCTTTGTGCTTTCCAAATAAGCTATATACACTCAGATTTTTATTTTTCTTAATGTTTTATATTTTGGTTTCCTATAAACTTATCAGTTTGAAAGTCAATATATGTTACCTGAGAATATTGGATACTTGAGGAACATAGATTTAAATAATTTAATAAATTAAAGATTACAATTTTAAAATTAAAGAAAATTTCTAGAAGAAAGCAGAAAAGTGTGGTCTATATAGACATCAATATGGACATTAAATCTCCTGTTTTCTAATTCCTGATTTTTCATTCCAAGCATAGAAACCATTTGTATATAATAGGTAAATTATTACTGAGTCCTAGCTGATTAATTGATACACCTGAAATATTCTTGTGTTTGAAGAGTCACACTGCTTTATGAAGAGGAAAGCTTATACTCAAAAAATCCAGATATGGACAATAATATGGATTAAACGTTTTGAGACATATATATTTCATTAAAAAATTTTTATCTATTTTATAATGCTTCTCCCCATAATAAAGTGCAAATATATTTCCAAGTCATGAAATATTTCTCCTCAATATTTTAATAATATTATATAGTACTTATTATGCATCACTGTGCTGTGTGGTTTATAAACATTGATGTATTTAATCTTCTCTACGAACCTATGCATTATGTTCCAGTATTATTTCCATTTTATATATGGGACCACTGAAGCTAAGAAGTTAAGAAAAATGTGCAGAGGCCCACAGATAGTACATGGGAAGGCTTGGAGTCAGATATACGTCAGTTTGACTTTTAACCACAATGCTGTACTGCCTCTGTATTAATATTCCAGTGAGTGGATATACCGATCTATTTAATGAATACCTCAATGCTGGACAATTCATTTACAATTTTCCGGATTATGAATATCAGTGTGCTAAACTTTTTGGATACTAGCTCATGTTTATGATAAATTATGATGTCTGGATTTCATGGAAACACATATTTTTAAGACTTGACAAGCACTACCAAATTGCATTGAAAACATGGTCTAGATGTTTCTACCCGCTCTTTCTCCATATTATATCCAGCATTAGATATAATTCATTAATTTTTTAGTAAGTTAGATAGGTGAAAAAAGACATCCCTTAAATGTGTGTATTCTTTGATTTGTATTTGGAGTCCACATTATGTATTTATTACCATCTATATATTTTATTTTTTATCTTTATGGGTGCATAGTAGATCTATATACTTAAGGGGTACCATGTGAAGTAAGCACATCATGAGGAATTGGGTATCCATCCCCTCGAGCATTTATTCTTTGAGTTACAAACAATCCAATTATATTCTTTATTTTAAAACGTACAATTCAGCTATTATTGACTATAGTCACCCTATTGTGCTATCACATAGTAGGTCTTATTTATTTTTTCTATTTATTTTGTACCTGTTAATCATGCTCACCCCAAGCCCAGCCTTCCACTACCCTTTCCAGCATCTGGTAACCATTCTCCTATTCTCTATGTCCATGGGTTCAATTGTTTTAATTTTTAGATCTGACAAGTGAGAATATGCAATGTTTGTCTTTCTGTGCCTGGCTTATTTTACTTAAAATAATACACAGTTCCATCCATGTTGTTGCAGACGACTAGATCTCATTGTTTTTTATGGCTGAATAGTACTCCATTGGGTATATGTACCACGTTTTCTTTATCCTATTCATCTGTCAATAAACATTTAGGTTGCTTCTGCACAGTCAAGGATACAGTCAACAAAGTGAAGAGACAACCCACAGAATGGAAGAAAACATTTGCAAACTACCCATCTCACAAGGGATTAATAACCAGAATATAGGAGCTCATACAACTCTATAGGAAAAGTCTTAAATTGCTATCAGAAAATGGGCAGAAGATTTCAATAGCCATTTCTCAAGACATATGAATGGAAAATAGGCATATGAAAATTTGCTCAGCATCACTGATCATCAGAGAAATGCATATCAAAACTACAATGAAATATCATCTTACCCCAGTTAAAATGGTTTATATTCAAAAGACAAGCAATACATTACAAGAAATACCTAATGTAGATGACGGGTTGATGGTTGCAGCAAACCACCATGGTACGTGTATAGCTATGTAACAAACCTGCAGGTTCTGCACATGTATCCCGAAACGTAAAGTATAATAAAAATAAGAAGAAAAGGGAACCCTCGTAAAACTGTTGGTAGGAATGTAAATTAGTGCAACCACTATGGAGAACAGTTTGGAGGTTGCTCAAAACACTAAAAATTGAACAACCACATAATCCAACAATCCCACTTCTGGGTATATACCCAAAAGAAAGAAAATCAATATATTGAAGAGATAGCTGTATTCTTACGTTTTTTTGCAGCCATCTATATTTTTTAAAGAATTATGTGTTCATAGTTCTAGATCTTTGAGGAATCGCCACACTGTCTTCCACAATGGTTGAACTAGTTTACAGTCCCACCAACAGTGTAAAAGTGTTCCTGTTTCTCCACATCCTCTCTAGCACCTGTTGTTTCCTGACTTTTTAATGATCGCCATTCTAACTGGTGTGAGATGGTATCTCATTGTGGTTTTGATTTGCATTTCTCTGATGGCCAGTGATGATGAGCATTTTTTCATGTGTCTGTGGGCTGCATAAATGTCTTCTTTTGAGAAGTGTCTGTTCATATCCTTCGCCCACTTGTTGACGGGGTTGTTTGTTGTTTTCTTGTAAATTTGTTTGAGGTCTTTGTAGATTCTGGATATCAGCCCCTTGTCAGATGAGTAGATTGCAAAAATTTTCTCCCATTCTGTAGGTTGCCTGTTCACTCTGATGGTAGTTTCTTTTGCTGTG